>NC_000004.12:85133502-85285017 GCF_000001405.40 Homo sapiens
TCAAAGAATTTTTTTATTTCTGTCTTAATTTCATTGCTTACCCAAAAGTCATTCAGGAGCAACTTGTAATTGTGTGAAATTCAGAAGTCTTCTTGGTATTGATTTCTATTTTTATTACACTGTGGTCGAAGAATATGGTTGGTATGATTTATATTTTTTTGAATTTATTGAGAGTTGCTTTTTGGCCGAGCATGTGGTTGATCTTATAGTATGTTCCATGTGCAAATGTGAAGAATGTGTATTCTGTGGTTGATGGTTGGAGTTTTCTTTAGATGTCTATTAGGTCCAATTGGTCAAGAGTCAAATTTAAGTCCAGAATTTCTTTTTTTAGTTTTCTTCCTTGAAGATCTGTCTAACACTGTAAGTGTGGTTTTGAAGTCCCCCACTATTATGTGTAGCTGTCTACATCTTTTTATAAACCTGTAAGTACTTTTTAGATGAATCTGTGTGCTCCAATATTGGGTACATATATATTTAGGAAAGGCAAATCTTATTTAATTGAACCCTTTCTCCTTATGTCTTTAAAAAGAAGATATTAAAGAACACAATAAATATGGCTAAAAACAAGACAGGGAACCAAGGATCACAAAGAAAAATGCAGATATAATTTACCAAATAAAAATAATATGGCCAAAGTCATCTCAAATGAAGCCAAAAGACAAATAATTGGCCAAAGAGCAATAATAGAAATCATAAATCAAGGGTTGTATTCCTAATGTAAATTGATTCCCGTAAATTGTAGCATGGTGAAGTGCTCTTCTATACTATACGGTTAGTATATGCAAGTGCTTGGAAAGTTTTTGAGTTTTTGTTTAATTAGCTCAATTTGGTGGGTCTCGACCTGGACACATATAAAGTAGACTAACTTCCTGTCTAGAAAAAATACCAGTCAGGCTGGTATATTTTTCACAAGAAATGAACAATTTGCATCCATATTTCTGCCATCTATAGAATGTGTTTTGAACCTCCACTAACATCACAGACTACATACTATAAAAACATAGGGAAAACAATCGTATGCTGACTACAGTACTGTCTTGCATAAAGTTCTCCTAAGCCATTTGATATTTGAGAAATAATTCTTTCCATGTATTTGATGATCATCAGGGAACAGGATTTCTAGGCCGTCATATCTCATCCTAACAGTCTTCCTAGTATCCTTCTGTATTTTGCTCTGTCTTCATTGAGAAGGTTTATAATAGGATCTTGCATTTCAGTAACATTTTCATGCCATTTACAAAACTGTAATTGATTAAATGACAAAATTTTACAATGTTAGTCAGATTTTCTATTATAGTCAGGAGATGAATTAATTCCTATTGAAATTTATTTCCAGCAATAGGGTGTTTTTGCTGATTTGTTCTTCTTTTTTAAAAATTATTCTTCCCAGAAAATTTAAAATCAAATATAGAATTTTAACCCAGAAATTAGCTTCTTTCAGAAATCTTATAACAGCCAATCTCACCTCATTTCAGCTGGTCATGGTCTGATATGATTTGGATCTGTGTCCCCACCAAATCTCATGTCAAATTGTGATCCCCAGTGTTGGAGGTGGGGCCTTGTGGGAGGTGATTGGATCATGGAGGCAAGTTCTTATGAGTGGATTAGCACCATCCCCTCAGTGCTGTCCTCATAATAGTGTGTGAGTTATAATGAGATCTCATTGTTTTTAAGTGCATAGCACCTCCCCACTCTTCTTCCTGCTCTGGCTGTGTGAAGTGCTCACTCCCCCTTTGCCTTCCACCATGACGGTGAGTTTCCTGAGGCCTCCCTAGAAGTCAAGTTCATGCTGCCATGCTTTCTGTACAGCCTGCAGAATTGTGAGCCAATTAAACCTTTTTTCTTTATAAATTACCCTGTCTCAGGTATTTCATTATAGCAGTGTGAGAACGAACTCATACATGGTTTTAGTTTGTGTTTTGTATTGCTATAACAGAATACCACAGACTGGGTCATTTAGAAAGAAAAAACATTTATTTCTCACAGTTCTGGAGGCTGGGAAGTTCAAGATCAAGGGAATGCATGTGATAAGGGCTTTCTTGCTACATCATCGCATGGCAGAATGATCAAAAGAGCATGTATATATATGTGTGCACTCATGTGCACATGTTCAGGCAAGACAGAGAAAGGCTGGGTGGGGGAAAGGGAGGGGGAGGAAGGGAGAAAGAAAGAGAGAGAGAGAGAGAGAGAAGAGGGCCAAACTCATTTTTCAGTAAGATCCACTCCTGAGATAACTAACCCATTTTTGAAGTAACAGCATTAACCCATTTATGAGGGCAGAGCCCTCATGACCTAATTACTTCTTAAAGGTCTCACTTCTCAACACTGTTGCATTGGTGACTGAGTTTCCAACACATGAGCTTTGGGAGGCACATTAAAGTCATAACAAGTCATTCTGTGTTGAATTTTTTTAGACAAGAATACCTTTACAAAGTTTTAAATTTATAAAGTCATGCAAATCATTTTGGAAGCAGAATATACAAATCCAACACTGTAAATGCAATGAAACTGAAGTTCAGAAATACTAATTAGCTGATCCAATCTCATGCTGATTTATAGTTAAACCAGGGATAGAGACACAGTCTCTTGACTATTGGTACAGAACTTATCCCACATTACTTTCTTTATTGCCAAATATTTGTGAGATATTAATTCTTTAGAATTAGGCAAATTGCACATTCTAAGGTTTGACCACAAATCCCAAGCTCCAAGTGGGTCTTTGGAATTAATCCTTTTTTTTTTGTTTTGAGACAGAGTCTTGCTCTGTTGCTCAGGCTGGAGTGCAGTAGTGTGATGTAGGCTCACTGCAGCCTCTGCCTCCTGGTTCAAGCGATTCTCCTGCCTCAGCCTCCTGAGTAGCTGGGACTACAGGCGTGCACCACCACACCAGGCTAATTTTTTGTATTTTTAGTAGAGATGGGGTTTCACCATGTTGGCCAGGATTGTCTTGATCTCCTGACCTCATGATTCGCCTGCCTCAGCCTCCAAAAGTGCTGGGATTACAGGTGTGAGCCACCACACCCAGCTGCAAATTAATTCATTTTTAAAGGCAGTTCCTCATAGTGGCTTTGGACATGAGAATATTAGAAGAAAGTAGAAATATATGTAAACATCTAATTTGGTGTTTTAGACATGAAGTCCTTGCCCAGGCCTATGTCCTGAATGGTATTGCTAGGTTTTCCTCTAGGGTTTTTATGGTTTTAGGTCTAACATTTAAGTCTTTAATCCATCTTGAATTTATTTTTGTATCAGATGTAAGGAAGGGATCCAGTTTCAGCTTTCTACATATGGCTAGCCAGTTTTCCCAGCACCATTTATTAAATAGGGAATCCTTTCCCCATTTCTTGTTTTTGTCAGGTTTGTCAAAGATCAGATTGTTGTAGATGTGTGGTATTATTTCTGAGGGCTCTGTTCTGTTCCATTGGTCTATATCTCTGTTTTGGTACCAGTACCATGCTGTTTTGGTTACTGTAGCCTTGTAGTATAGTTTGAAGTCAGGTAGTGTGATGCCTGTGATTCTTTTTGCTTAGGATTGACTTGGCAATGCAGGCTCTTTTTTCAGTTCCATATGAACTTTAAAGTAGTTTTTTCCAATTCTGTGAAGAAAGTCATTGGTAGCTTGATGGGGATGGCATTGAATCTATAAATTACTTTGGGCAGTATGGCCATTTTCATGATATTGATTCTTCCTACCCATGATTATGGAATGTTCTTCCATTTATTTGTGTCCTCTTTTATTTCATTGAGCAGTGGTTTGTAGTTCTCCTTGAAGAGGTCCTTCACATCCGTTGTAAGTTGGATTCCTAGGTATTTTATTCTCTTTGAAGCAATTGTGAATGGGAGTTCACTACTCATGATTTGGCTCTCTGTTTGTCTGTTATTGGTATATAGGAATGCTTGTGATTTCTGCACATTGATTTTGTATCCTGAGACTTTGCTGAAGTTGCTTATCAGCTTAAGGAGATTTTGGGCTGAGACGATGGTGTTTTCTAAGTATACAATCATATCATCTGCAAACAGGGACAATTTGACTTCCTCTTTTCCTAATTGAATACCCTTTATTTCTTGCTCCTGCCTGAGTGCCCTGGCCAGAACTTCCAACAGTATGTGGAATAGGAGTGGTGAGAGAAGTCATCCCTGTCTTGTGCCAGTTTTCAAAGGGAATGCTTCCAGTTTTTGCCCTTTTAGTATGTTATTGGCTGTGGGTTTGAGATACGTCCCATCAATACCTAATTTATTGAGTTTTTAGCATGAAGGGCTGTTGAATTTTGTCAAAGGCCTTTTCTGCATCTATTGAGATAATCATGTGGTTTTTGTCATTGGTTCTGTTTATATGCTGGATTACATTTATTGATTTGCATATGTTGAACCAGACTTGCATCCCAGGGATGAAGCCCACTTGATCATGGTGGATAAGCTTTTTGATGTGCTGCTGCATTCAGTTTGCCAGTATTTTACTGAGGATTTTTGCATCAATGTTCATCAGGGATATTGGTCTAAAATTCTCTTTTTTTTGTTGTGTCTTTGCCAGGCTTTGGTATCAGGATGATGCTGGCCTCATAAAATGAGTTAGGGAGGATTCCCTCTTTTTCTATTGATTGGAATAGTTTCAGAAGGAATGGTACCAGCTCCTCCTTGTACCTCTGGTAGAATTCGGCTGTGAATCCATCTGGTCCTGGACTTTTTTTGGTTGGTAGGCTATTAATTATGCGCCTCAATTTCAGAGGCTGTTATTGGTCTATTCAGGTCTTCTTCTTGGTTTAGTCTTGGGAGGGTGTATGTGTCCAGGAATTTATCCATTTCTTCTAGATTTTCTAGTTTATTTGCGTAGAGGTGTTTATAGTATTCTCTGATGGTAGTTTGTATTTCTGTGGGATCGGTGGTGATATCCACTTTATCATTTTTTATTGCGTCTATTTGATTCTTCTCTCTTTTCGTCTTTATTAGTCTTGCTAGTGGTCTGTCAATTTTGTTGATCATTTCAAAAAATCAGCTCCTGGATTCATTAATTTTTTGAAGGGTTTTTTGTGTCTCTATTTCCTTCAGTTCTGCTCTGATCTTAGTTATTTCTTGCCTTCTGCTAGCTTTTGAATGTGTTTGCTCTTGCTTCTCTAGTTCTTTTAATTGTGATGTTAGGGTGTCAATTTTAGATCTTTCCTGCTTTCTCTTGTGGGCATTTAGTGCTATAAATTTCCCTCTACACACTGCTTTAAATATGTCCCAGAGATGCTGGTATGTTATGTCTTTGTTCTCATTGGTTTCAAAGAACATCTTTATTTCTGCCTTCATTTCGTTATGTACCCAGTAGTCATTCAGGAGCAGGTTGTTCAGTTTCCATGTAGTTGAGCGGTTTTGAGTGAATTTCTTAATCCTGAGTTCTAGTTTGATTGCACTGTGGTCTGAGAGACAGTTTGTTATAATTTCTGTTCTTTTACATTTGCTGAGAAGTGCTTTACTTCCAACTATGTGGTCAATTTTGGAATAAGTGCAATGTGGTGCTGAGAAGAATGTATATTCTGTTGATTTGGGGTGAGATCTAATTAAACTAAAGAGCTTATGCACAGCAAAAGAAACTACCATCAGAGTGAACAGGCAACTTACAGAATGGGAAAAAATTTTTGCAATCTACTCATCTGACAAAGGGCTAATATCCAGAATGTACAAAGAACTCAAACAAATGTACAAGGAAAAAACAAACAACCCCATCAAAAAGTGAGCAAAGGATATGAGCAGACACTTCTCAAAAGAAGACCTTTACACAGCCAACAGACACATGAAGAAATGCTCATCATCACTGGCCATCAGAGAAATGCAAATCAAAATCACAGTGAGATACCATCTCACACCAGTTAGAATGGTGATCATTCAAAAGTCAGGAAACAACAGGTGCTGGAGAGGATGTGGAGAAATAGGAGCACTTTTACACCGTTGGTGGGACTGTAAACTAGTTCAACCATTGTGGAAGACAGTGTGGTAATTCTTCAAGGATCTAGAACTAGAAATACCATTTGAACCAGCCATCTCATTACTGGATATATACCCAAAGGATTATAAATCATGCTGCTATAAAGACACATGCACACGTATGTTTATTGCGGCAGTATTCACAATAGCAAAGACTTGGAACCAACCCAAATGTCCATCAATGATAGACTGGATTAAGAAAATGTGGCACATATCTACCATGCAATACTATGCAGCCATAAAAAAGGATGAGTTCAGGTCCTTTGTAGGGACATGGATGAAGCTGGAAACCATTCTCAGCAAACTATCGCAAGGACAAAAAACCAAACACCACATGTTCTCACTCATAGGTGGGAATTGAACAATGAGAACACATGGACACAGGAAGGGGAACATCACACACTGGGGCCTGTTGTGGGGTGGGGGGAGGGAGGAGGGAGGAGGGATAGCATTAGGAGCCATACGTAATGTAAATGATGAGTTAATGGGTGCAGCACACCAACATGGCACATGTATACATATGTAACAAACCTGCACGTTGTGCACATGTACCCTAGAACTTAAAGTATAATTTAAAAAAAACCTAAATGTGATATATGCTTATAAATTACACAGTATTTCTTCCAAGATAACTTAATCAATCCTACTTTGTAAATATTCCTACCCAGGAAAAATACAAGTTGATATAGAACCAGAGGTATAAATTTCAGCTATTTTCTTTATGGTCTCTTCAACTTCATGTCTCATTTGACTTGCAGCCTAAGAAATTGTGAATCTGTTGGTGTTCTCCAGGTTTTTATAATAGTGGATTTGAACAACCAATTTCCTATGAAATTTAAGCTATAATTTCCTTTTCAATGTTACAACATACCATATTATCTATCCCAATATCTGGTTTACAAGCCTCCCAAAGGCTCTTTCAGGTATATGCAGCATTACAGTATTTGCCAAGTAAAAAAAGTATTTCAGTTCCAAGGCTTGCATGAAAGGAAGCCCTGTGTATCTGTGGCTGCCAAATTGGCTGAGCAATTTCTTCCTGATACTTCCTACTGCAGATGAAGAATATGAACAGGTGAACTGTTACCTTTCCCTAGAGTCAAAAGGGCCTTCCCACTGAAGTCCATTGCCAGTCATGCTAAATTAAACATTCTTGAAAAAACAGAGGGCAAAATCTTGGGGGCATCATTTTCCTCATATTGATCCCCTTGAAGTTAATGGAAATGATATACAGAAGAATTGGGTGACAATGGTGGTGGCAAAACAGTTAGGTTTGTAGTACATCATCATCACCACCGTGACCAAATGCTTCCTAGAGTCTCCCACACGTCTGGATGGCACCAAGGTAGTTGTAATAGGTTTATAGTGCTTAGTTTTGAACTGTTTTTCAGGGTTACAATGACAATAGGTCATGAGTTTGCGGCAAGGGGAGCGGGTACCTCCCCACACCAACTCCCCTACAAAAGCAGCACAAGTGGTTGCTTTTTGGCTACAAGACAAGTAAGAAATGTGATAATGAAGTCGTGCCTTTTTATTTGCTCACTCTTCCAAAAGGTAGAATCTATCTCTGCTTCTGTTCAATATTCAGAACATTTATATGCAAAGGTATGTAATTAATAGATCTGGAAAAATAGTTAACCACTAAAAATCACTAGTGATAGAAATTGGTGGCAAGATTGCAGAATTAGGCAAAGAGCAGTAAGAAAAAAAAAAGTAATCCTGACTCTTGGTAGGCAGGTTTTATTTGGAAAGTCTCAGAGGTCAGCAATATTTAGGCAGGTTAGGTAGGTCAAGCCAATGACCGTTCAAATAAGACAATGCTATCCTCATCATGAGCACAGATTCTGTGACATAGATACTCCAAGTATTATTGTCAAAAGGGAGGCCAGAATGACAGCCAAGAGATAGACAGAGGTAGATGAAAGGTGGCAGTCTACATAAGACTCAGGAAAGTCAAGACGGTTTTCAGAAGATCCGAATCAGCCAGTGTATCAGTGACAAGAGGAGCTTAGTCATAAAACATTACTCTCTGGGTATTGTTTTAAAGAAAGAAATGTCATTTAAATAAAGAAATATGTTTTTTGTTTTTTGTTTTTTTTTTGAGACAGAGTCTCGCTCTGTTGCCCAGACAGGAGTGCAGTCGTGCGATCTCAGCTCACTGCAACCTCTGCCTCCCCGGTTCAAGTGATTCTTTTGCCTCAGCCTCTCAAGTAGCTGGGACTACAGTTGTGCGCCACCACACCAGGCTAATTTTTGTATTTTTAGTAGAAACGGGGTTTCACTATATTGGCAGGGCTGGTCTCGAACACCTGACTTTGCGATCTGCCCCCCCCCCCCCCCACCCCCCACCCCCTCGGCCTCCCAAAGTGCCGGGATTACAGGCGTGAGCCACTGCGCCCGGCCCTAAGAAATGTCTTTCACTCTTCTAGCGAGATGGTTCATGAATCTAAGTCTGGATTTCTAGGGATGGGGACTCAACAAGTTACTATAATGCTACACCTTGTTCCTTCACAACACATTGAAAGAAGTTCAGTTTATCATATGGAGATATCAGATTCTCTATAAAATTTATTAGGTGATCTCTATCATTCATTATGGAAATTTCAAATAAAAACAGTACAGAGAATAGTAAAAACAACTAATCACCCAACTTCAAAAATTACCAACATACAACCAATTTTGTTCCAACAATATTCCTTATACTTCCCTCCCACGACAGATACTGAAGCAAATCTCAGATGGCATATTATTTCATCTGTTAAAATTCAGATAGCACTTTTTGTGAAAAATAAGGACTATTTTTAACATAATTATACCTCTCACATTAACAATCATTTCTTAATATCACCAACTATCCATTTAGTATCTAAATTTCTCTGATTATCTCATAAATGTCTGTTTACAGTTATCATTTAAAAAATAATTAATTAACATATTAAATGTATTTACAGGGTACAAGTGCAAGTTCCTTACATGCATATATTGTGTAGTGGTGAAGTCTGGGCTTTTACTGTACCCATCACTTCAATAGTGAACATTGTATCCAATAGGTACTTTTTCAACCCTTACCCTCTTCCTACCTTCCTACATTTTGTAGTCTCTAGTGTCTTTAATTTGACTTTGTATGCCCATTGTTTAGCTGCCACTTATAAGTGAGAACACGCAGTATTTCACTTTCTGTTTCTGAGTTAATTCACAGAGAATAGTGTCCTCTAGTTCCATCAATTAGTATCATTTTGAATCAGGTCCCAAACAAGATCCACATTGCTTGGTGTGCTTTTTTTCTTATACGCTGGAAGAGCACATTATGACTTTTTACTAACAGTTCTTCCTTCTTGTTTATTTTTTTCCCTTGCCATTTACTTGTTGAAGGAAACAGGTCACTTGTTTTTAGAATTTCCCACATCCTGATTTTAGCTGCTTGCATTATAGGAGGCTTAATTTAGCATGTTTCTCTCATCCTCTGGATTTTCTGTAAAAGAGTAGTTAGACCTAGAGGCTTGATCAGATTCTTGTTTGCCTTTTGGTAAGAACATTTCATTAGTGCTGCTCTGTACTTCTTATTGAATCACATCAGAAGGCTCATAATGTCTGGTTGTCTCTTTTTGTGATGTTAAGATTGATCAGTGGGTTCAGATGATGTCAGCTGATCCATCCATCACAACTTTCCCACCAGTCCTTCAGGTAATGGCTTTAGTAGCCGTTAATTATTATCTAGATGGATTATTTCATTAGGGTTGCAAAAGGGTTATCCTTTAATTCTATCATTCCATTTGTATTTCTTAGCTAGAATTTATCCATAAAGAACTGTCTTTTGTGGACTATTTAGATAATCTGGGAAGACGTTTGTATAGCCAAGGTAAGGTAACTATTTAATATTTTTCACTTTATTTTCCTCTTTATCATTTTGAGGCAATTATTAAGCCCTTACTCTAATGTGTCACAAGAAGGCACACACAAACCAATGGGAAAATCAGAGCTCTAGATGCAGAACTAAGGGACCTAATCTTGCCATTGCCTGGTATGTAGCAGCAAGTTTGTACATGTGACATATCTGACACATGCACTTCTCTGTGGTCTAAAGAAACATCTTTAATGATACGTCTTATTTCTATAAAAATTTAATTCTCTAATTCCTATAATTTCTGACATTGTCAGGACCTGTATCTGCTGCCTTTAATCATACATACATTCTTAGTTCTATAAATATATTTGTAATCCCACTCGCTGTACATTGTTTTTATGGTAAGCTTCCATTATTCATTACAGAAAAGATTCATTGAATATCTGGCTCCATTTTATATAGACTCACTATTGTGTGTCCTTTATCTTGCTTTCTACCTTAACCAATCTAGTAAGACTGCTTTTATTAAGTCAGCCACTTATTTCTGGCAAAAAACTATATATTTACCTACTATTTTTTTCACTTTGATTCTGCTTATTAGTTATGAAAACTTAGTCAACTCATCTTACTCCTCTAGCCTCAGTTCCTTCATTACTAAAATTGGGATCAAGAAACCCTTCTCCAGAGACATTCTGAAGACTAACAAAGGTAAATTATGTGAAATCAGTAGTCATAGAGCCATTCTTACATTCATTTATCCTGTTCAGCAGTCATTGAGCTCTTTCTGGTGGTAGCTTCTAGGCTAAGTCCTAAGAATATGTAAAGTGAAACAGACATGGGCTTTGCTTTCAGGATGCTTCAGTCTGACGGTGAGTATACACATTAAAAATATAATTGCACCTAATCCATAGGTGTTCCACAAATGATTGCCGTATTTGACAATTCAGCAATTTGACTGTTCAATTGTTGATTTATTGCTTATTTCTATCCATTTATTAGAAATTAATGTTTAGTTCTGGCTCACTAATGTTTTCACGATATAGGTGTCATGAATTTCTTTACTGTGTTTGAAAGAACGTATGACACTGAGTTTCACTTTAGAACTTCCTAAGTATTAAGTATATAAGTAAAAAATGCTGGGAAGTGGAGAATTTTCGTTTTGTTCATTCACTCATCCATTTATCAACTGTTCAGTGCAACTAGAATAAGCAAGATGATTTCAGAGAAGATAGTGATGCTCAGATCAACTTGTTTTATAAGGCAACAGAGATGAGTTAATCAGAATTAGACAATGCCTCTTCTGTGTTTGACTGGCTATTATTGCCTGCAAATTGCATCAAATATTTTAAAGATTTGAGATGAAAGATTTGGATCAATATGTCTGATTTAATAAAGCCACTTATAACCCGAGACAGATTGACCATACTTAAAAGAAGTAGGTCTAGATCTGTGAGATAAAGAAATGACTAGCGAATGTCATCTGCCAGAACTGAACTCATATGTGCTTGTCTGTGGCTTTATAAGGAAAGTTGTGTACTTTTTATCTCATTTTCCCATTCTCATTGGTATTTCTTAATTGCCAAACACATCTTTGGCTACTTGTTTTGTGTATTTAATACCATATTCTCTTTGTTGACATTGAGTTAGTCTACGACATATAGTTTAAAATAGCTAAGAGAGTGTATGTGTGTGTGTGTGTGTGTGTGTGTGTGTGTGTGTGTTTTAAGCAGCCATTGAGATGACTCAGAAATCTAACTTCTGTTCAGGTGTGTAAGTTGGATTCGTGTCATATCTTTTAATTCTTAGCTTTATTACTTTTTTTTGCTGGTGATTAAAGGAGAACATATCATCTCGTTGATATTTTGCCTCTCTTACTCTTTTTAATAGTTTGATCACAACTTATTTTCTCTTAATTGTTTCTAACTTTCTCATAACATTTCTCTTAACTTTTAGTTTCCAAGAGTGAAGGTATGGTTGAACATACTCTTTTTCTAAATTATTTTTCCACTCTTCTGTAAGAGGATTATGCTTCCTGGCTCTGTTGATATCAGATTTGGTCAAATGACTTGCTAGGCCAATGAAATGTGAGTGGAGGTAACATGGACTACTTTCTGATAGAAGCTTTAAGAACCATCATGTAGTTCTCTCATTATTCTCCTTCCTCTGCCATGTGATAAAAATAAGGGCTGCTGCTTCAGTTTGGGTACCAGGATGAAGAAGACTTTCAGTGTGAATTAATGTGAATTGAGGCTGACAGGCATTAATGAGAAATAATAAATAAAAATAGACAGCTCAGATTTGGGGGTCATTTGTTATAGCAATGTATTAGTTGACTAATACAAAGGAACATGCTAGTTTCATAAGCAGTGGGGCTGTGTATGATGGCTCACACCTGTAATCCCAGCACTTTGGCAGGCCAAAGCAGGAGGATTGCTTGAGGCCAGTTCAAGATCAGCCTGGGCAATATAGTGAGATCCCATCACTAAAAAATTTTTAAACAATTAGCCAGGCAACATGTCTGTAGTCCCAGCTACTTGAGGGGCTGAGGTGGCAAGATTGCTAGAAAAAAGAGGCAACAGGATGGACTGTTGGCATAAGAAAGAGAAAAGAGCATGTATTTTGGAGTAAGGTAGATCTGGGTTTGATCAAGCTTTGAATTCCACTAGTTGTGAATACTTGGGCTAGTTATTAAACTATTTATACCTCACTTTTTTAATCTGTGAAATGAGGGATAAGCCTACAATAAACTTATTAAGTTTGCTGTGAAGATTAAATGAGATCATCGCATTAATGTAATTCTTATTGTTGTAACCAATAGTCAAATGCAAAACTATATAATAACTCAAAATTTATGGAAGTTTACTTCTTACCTAAACTACAAAACAGATGCTCTTAATTGTCAGGTACATTTATTCCAAACAGTGACTCAGAGACGAAGCTGCCTCTTTCCATCTTGTGGCTCTGCTGTCTGCAGTATGTGGCTTCCAAGGTTGCCTGTGGGATATATCCATTCCAGTCATCCAGAAGGGCAAAAGAACATGAAAGATCCTGAAAGGGAGGTTTGTCATGGGCGATGCATGGAAGTGGTACACATTGCTTTTGCTCACAGTACTGGATTCTGATTAGAATCCCGTTACATGGTCATACTTGAGTCAATGTTGGCTGTAAATGTAGTCTGGCTATGTGCTTAATAAGAAGAGGAAATGGTTGGTGAACAGTTAGCAGTCTCTGCCATAGTGATATATGTAAAGGGCATAGACTACTAACTAGCACCTGGCAGATACTTAATAAATATTCTTTTCTGTTTGTGTCTCTAAGTTCCTTCAAACCTTATGTAAATATCAAAAGTGTTTATTTGCTGGGATCAGACAAATGACATTTAAAATGGAATATATACATTTTGAAGCCATAAAAAATATATACTTTTTAGCTCAGGGGTCTTCCTTGGTATTCACACAGCACTTGCTTTGTGCAAAGGTCTTGGATCACTGGCAATCAAAACTAGAGTTCCTAGAGGCATTCAATGAATGTCTGTTGAATGCCTACCTGAACAAATATACCTCTCTCGATTTTAATAAAATACCATGACTGAGCCAGGGGGAACTAAACTGGCTTCCTAGAGACTATTGCCTTGCTGTCTAAGAATCGGTATTTAACTTTTACTTACTATGGGAAATGGTTGTATTTATAACCCAAACTTAAATTAAAATTTTAACTAAGTGTTAGCTAAAATTTTCCAGTTAATTTCATTGTTATTGAATTATTTCTTTGGATTTATACTTTGAGGCTGGATACATGTAAAAACTATTGATAATTTCTGCTTGTTGAAATCAGGCTTGTGAGAGTTCTTGCAAATTTATAAAGATATGTTTGAATCTTAGTTTTTCTTATTCTCTTAGGCAACTCATACTACACATATGGGCCTCGACTATTTAATCAATAAAACCAGATGAGGATAAAGACTAGGTTATATACTCATAGTGAATTTTAAATGGGGTAAAGAATGTAAAACAATGAATACATTTTCTGGCATGTAGTAAATACTCAGTAAATGGTAATTTTCTATTAATATTAATAGCAATAATGATAGTAATAGCACCATAATACTAATAATGGAAAAATAATAAACTATTATCAGGGAAGGGCATATTTTTCTCAGAGGCACACTGTAGATGTGCAATAGGATGATTAACCATCTTTGCCTCCCTAGAACAACACAGAACAAGGTTGGAATATGCTTCCCGTTATGCCAAGGGCAAGGTTTTGTTCTCACCTGAGTGTTTTGACACTGCATAATTTGATAGTAAACAAATTATGTCACGTTTGGCGTGTACTCCTTCATATTTTTGAAAAGCCACTAGAGGGTGCTACTTTGCTAGAAAAATACAAGTACTTCCTTACAGTAACATTTTCAGTCTGCAGCCGCGACGTCTGATGTTAGGGACTAGAACTGAGATCTCTGCTGTGAGTATCCGGATACAATTTATTCATTTTCTTTCGCTTATGTAGGAAGTAAATAGGAATAGCTTAGGTAAGCTACAAAAGTTGATTCAAATAAAATCCTAGTCTTTTATTTCAGTAAAGGTTCATACCCATTCTATTAGGAAAAAATTGTCAATATTTCTTACTAAACAAAATTGTGAGGGTAAATGACTTTCTTATGAGATATAAGCTGGCTTTAATACGTGTGCTGTGTTTTTGCTAGACTTCTGTTGTTTTAAGTTTGGTATAAGGATATTATTCTGTCTTTGGTAGTTTTTAATTATAAGGGTTAGTGAAAATGAAGATCATTTTGTATGATTTTGCTCTCTGAAAAATAATGTTTCAGTGAATCAAAGGTCACAAATATATTCAGGTGGCTGAGGTGCAGGTAAACTAAGCCTGTGACCTTCCTTTTTGTTACTCTGAGTGTAAAGTAAATGTTATGTTGGTGAGAGGTTGTGTTAAGCGTCAACCTCAATTATGAATAACGGCCTTTAGTCTATAGCTCATACTCAATGGCAAGTGCATCTTTGTGGAGGCAATTATCTAAGGATGAAACATAGTCAGCATGGGTCGAGTCAAAATATTTCTGCAAATTAACCATTGTCTTTTCAGCTGACCATGAGGTAATGAGATGAAAGAAGATTGTCAGTAGTTGAGTGAGAGGAATAAATATATGGGAGACATAAAGAATCCTAGTTGTGTAATAGATGTGAATTATACAAAACCTGGATGTTCTCATTTTTGATCCCTGATAGAAGAGTTAGCTTCCTGAGAGATTTTTGTCCTACTACGTATTACTTCAAAAATATAAGAGTTGGGGAAAAGGGTTTCTGATTTGTCTTCCCTTAGTGAAAGGAACACTAAAAAGTTTCAGACAAAATTATCTGAAAGAGTCTAGCTCCTCAAGTCTTTTGAGTTTCCTCTACCCTAGGTAACTAATCAAGTCTGGGTTGTACTTGATGATTAAACAAGAATTTGGTCACTGGGGTGGTGCATGGGGTGTGTGTGTGTGGTGTGTGTATTTCACACACTCACATATGTCTAATTACAACTTTAAGAAGTCATGTCAGAGAGTATCTTTTTATTCTCTGTCTTACCCTACTTTAATTTTCGGTGTTAATTCAGCGTTTATAGCTTGTTTGTATGATTATCTTTAGGAGCAGTTTTGTAAGTTAGGTAGTTATTGGTGGTGGGAGAAGGGGAGGAGTCAGTATATTCCGATTTTTTTCACTGTTGTTATGTTTTTCAACTCCATACTTTAAATCTTGTACAGATAATTTGAGACTGGCAACATTTAAGTGGCTCTAAAACACACAAAAAATTTCCATCTATCTTTTTTCATTAATGTAGATCATGTCTTTCTGTTTATTTAACTCCACTTTGGGATATAAATGAAATCAAACGGGGTTATATCCTTGTCCATGCTGGGGAGTACTTTCCTAGCACAGGACAGTTGGCTAAATAGTCCATACAGTAGATTAGAAGGGGAACTGTCAAACCTGGACTGAATTTTTACTGAGAAAATACCTCTATTTTAATTTGCCAGCTGTATAAAACATAGATTACAGAAAATAATATTGAATTGGAAGGTGGGGGGCAGTTAGCATTCTGGTTCTGATCTGTTCCTAAGTTGTTGGCTAATGACTTTATCTTGGGTAAACCATAGATATGGTTTATCCAAGCTTCAGTTTTTTATTTGTTTTTATCTTATAGGAAAGAATAGTGTCTCTTTTGTTCATATCAGAGGATTGTTGAGTGACATACAAAAAAAATGCCCTAAATTATAAAGACCAACAAAACTGTTGCCATGGTCTGTCAATGTGGTCATGAAAATGGACTTTATAAGATTCATTAAATACTATTGGGGAAATACCCTGCACCAGCGCTCTGACTTCTAATTCTACACATTGCTCCCTTCAAATGACCATACTGCATGTTTCAGCCTGACAAGAGATGCTGAATGTGTGATGATGGGGGAGAAAGGAAGAGGTAGCTCATCTTCCAATGTTGTGTACAGATTGTCACTGCCAACACCCTACAGCTGTGCTTTTGCTTTTGATTTCTTCATGCCTTTTATATGACTCAATTCCTGCTTTAAGGCACATTGTATTCTTGGCTTCTTAAGCTCAGATGCTCAAATAATTCCATGGGGTCCACTATATAAACTTAAAACCACAGTGGATGTGAAATTGGAAATACTAAACTTGGAACTGTTCTTTTTTGCTCATATTTTCTCATTTGATAAATTGAGGGAAGCAATGTTTTTCAGTAGCTCCCTTTGGTATAGCTCCATGGCTCTCAAACCTTGGATCTAGGCTTTTATTACCTCGCTGGACTAAGTATTGTTAGGAAGTCCTCTTCTTTTGCCTTGTACACCCTTAAACAAGCCCAATAAACGACAGCCTTGGTTTCCCTGTCTAAGCTGATCTCTCTCTCTCTCTCTCTCACACACACACACACACACACACACTCCAACATTATCTGTATGTATGAGGCAAGATAGATGGAGATTAGAGAGATCAACATATCCCTTTATTCCTTATGATTGATAAAAAACTAATATTGGAGAATGTGCCTTATGGATGTGGCAATAATGGGCATCCTAATAACAAACTGCAGGCCCAGCCAGAGTAAACTTGGAATCTCCTGGGTGACAGTCTGCCTCCGCTATAGCTAAAGGCTAGGTGGAACATGTATACACTTTCAGGGTAGCTGGCTCCCTCAGAAATGTGGAGGGAAAAGGGCTGAGCTGGCCGGGTGCGGTGGCTCAGGCCTGTAATCCCAGCACTTTGGGAGGCTGAGGCGGGCGGATCACGAGGTCAGGAGATCGAGACCATCCTGGCTAACACGGTGAAACCCTGTCTCTACTAAAAATACAAAAAAATTAGCCGGGCTTGGTGGCGGGTGCCTGTAGTCCCAGCTACTCGGGAGGCTGAGGCAGGAGAATGGCATGAACCCTGGAGGCGGAGCTTTGCAGTGAGCCGAGATTGCGCCACTGCACTCCAGCCTGGGTGACAGAGTGAGACTCCAACAACAAAAAAGGGCTGAGCTATGCCTACTTAGTTCCTCTCCCAAACTTATCAATTAAGTAACTGACTCCACGTTTCTAGGGTGAGAAACCTTGGGAAAACCCCATTACAGAAAACTGAGAAAAAGCAAATAACTGTCCTTACCCCCAGCCCCCAAAATATTCTCCAGGTGCTTGTTTTCTTATATTATGGAACCTAATCATCAGGTCTGTAGAAAGCAGATGGTTACCACTGATATCTGACTTCTGGTGGCTCTGCCTGGGACCACTGGTGATAGAGACAACATTTTCTCTTGGAAATATCCAAAAAGGTCAGTCTATACTAGAGCTGAAAATTCTCTCTCCTTTCTCTTCTCAATCCAAATGATATCCATCTAAATTGTCCAAGCTTATTAGAAATTTTGCAATGATATTTAATGACTACATGAGGCCATCCCAATAATAGTATGCCAAAACTAGATGTCCTAAACTGTTATATAAATCTCTGCCCATTATTAAATCCTTCAACAGTAATAAAAGAGCAAATTTAAACTCTTAAATGGTATAGTTCAAATGAATTAAAAACCAGACACACATATATTTCACTTTTGTTATTTCAAAAAAATTAGTGATAAAAACATCGCTTCCAATTTCTCATTCTGATCAGTGTCAGCAGAGAATTCTTGGTGGCTGGGGAGGATGAGTTTCCTTCAGCAGCTGCAGCTTGGATTATTTCTCACAGAATGGGTGTAGTTCTTTCACAGCTTCAGAAGTTGCATGAATTCAATGCCAAATTTTTGATGTGCCTCATTATTTTGAAGGGGGTTTACAAGATTATTATGACACTGGCCTCACTCACATCAGATTGAGAAAAAATGAATCTCCAGCCTCTGGAACAGTTTTCCCAGGGAAACTCAGTATTTAGTGATGCCAAAGATTATAAAAGACATTTAATGAGATCTGGGAATAGGATAGACAGTCTTGATTTTGGTTTAATCAGGATGCCACTGTATGCCAGTTTTTTAGAGTCAATGATTGGAGACCTTGCATTCAACTGGGAGAATTGGCCATAAAGACGTTACCTCTGGCACTAGAGAACTACCAGATCTTGAAGAAAAATCCATCTATGCACATGGTCTCTGCTACAAAAGGATATTTGAGACATGCTGGGTAAGCTTAGGAATTTGCAAGAGCTTCTGCATTCTTATCTGGCCATGTGTTTCAGGCATCCTGATGGTGGTGTAGTGTGGATTCTGTCTAGTAACATGTTATCCACTTTCTCCTCTGCCATGGTGGTGGATCCACTGGTCTTGCTATAAAATTGGTTAGTCCTCGGAACTCTTCCTCCTACTCATAACCAGTCCAGCTGGAGAGACACCCTCAGTAAATTTTTGAACTCAAAGTGTTTTTGATAATTTTTGAAATTTGAAGCCTTAGGGAGGTTTAGTGAGAATGGGTATCTCCATGTGTTCTTCAAGACAGTTGGTCTGGTACAAAATATGTAAAGTTAGGACCTCACACACATGTGCTCTGAAGCACTCATAGAACTTAGATGCCTGTGCACTTTGAAGACAATGCCTACATACATGGTTTAGAAATATAGAAAAATCAACAAAAACTGCTTCACCTCTTGTCACACACAGTGGGTAGTTTAAGGTCCTGATGTAGCAGCCAGCTTCCACAAGTCTTTTTGGCCCATGTGGCTTTATTTAAAGCCTGGGAAGGCTTGCTTGTGGAAAAACAGCTTCTCCCTATATAAAAATAGCCACACACCCGTGAACAAGCCACCATAAGCTACAGGTCCCCGACAAATTCAAAATCCTCTAGTGACCCATCCTTTTAAAGCCCCAGGTTTAAAGCTGCTGCTTAGGCTGCACTGATTATATGCACAACAACAGCTGTGAAAACCAGTTGTATAATGCAATACAAGCCCTTGCAAACCACCGAGGTCAACAAAAGACACAGCCTGATCTCTTCCAGTCCCTCAAGATTCAATTTTAGTTTTGCTACCCAAATTGCACTCCACATCTATCTCTTAATGTTCCTGGCTCAAGGCATCATATTCTAAACACTGTCTTGAATTCAACTTCCCAATCGTAGGTAGAGGCAGAGGCAGAGTCTGCCCTCTAATACATGAGGCTTGGGATAACACAACTGAATGTCTGCTCTCTGTAGTTAGCTGGATCACAAGGGTGGATGGCAGAAAGAGCTGGGATACTTGTTTCCAGTTCCTTTCTGAAACTCACCTGTCAGGTAACTCACTCCATCTTTGTGCACAAGAAGCTGGACGTATTTAGGATAAACCCCTCTTTGCGGAAAGCAGAGGAGTGAAGTTCTAGTCCCTCTCAACATGACCTGATTCGATTTTTCCCCTGTGGCCTCCTTTGATAGACTGTCTTGAAACAAGTGTTTCTTTCCAGAATAAAAACCAAACAAACACAAAGGACTTATGTGTTCTAAGTAATTGAGGAGCTCACCAGTTGAATGGCTTGACTGATGCGTCATCAATTTTAATTCTGCTGCAGAGGGTTTCCCCAGGTGCTTTACATATGCTAGCTGTAACTGATCTCTTCAAGCACTCAATGTAACACTTTTCTGGAAATGCTGGGTTAAGTCTTGCTTTCCAAAAGTAAGCTGGAAAGATTTCAAATAACATGGATGGAAAAAAATTGAATAAACAGGAAAATGATTCACAGTGTGCATTGATACAGGGAGATGTAATTACATTAAATTAAATGAGGTAATAGTTGTGAAAGAACTTGGCAAACTTGTAAAATACCATATGAAGGTAAAGTTTTAGCTTTTACATTCTGTACAAATGGATTGCAATTTGAAGTCCACAGTTCCTATTATAAGGATTTTGGTAGGAAGGTTAAAACCTAGTTTTACTCTTCCTTACATTAGGAGAAGCCTTGAAATGGTAAATGATCTTTCTAAGCCATATGGTCCATAGTCACCAACATAAGGAATGTCTAAGTGGGACCAGAAGTCAGTATGTTTCTCTTAATGATCAGTGTCAGAAGTTTGTGAGTGCCTAGATTCATGTGAAATGCAAGCTACCAGGGCATAAGACACTGACAAAGCTGAAAACTGGACCATAAAAAAATCTTAACAACATCAACTCAGAATATGAAAAGAAGAGATATGTATCTTCTGGAACTAAAGATGAGTTAATAATTTTTTCCTATATGTGAAAAAAATAATTTTCGCCTATACTGTGAAAAAATTATTTGATGAACAATCGCTTCTCAGTAATGATAAAATAATATTATTTTGTTTTATTTTATTTTTTCTGAGATGGAGTCTTGCTATGTTGCCCAGGCTGGAGTGCAATGGCATGATCTCTGCTCACTGCAACCTCCGCCTCCTGGACTCAAGCAGTTCTCCTACCTCAGCCTCCTGAACAGCTGGGATTACAGGCACCCACCACCACGCCTGGCTAATTTTTGTATTTTTAGCAGAGATGGGGTTTCACCATGTTGGCCAGGCTGGTCTTGAACTCCTGGCCTCAGGTGATCTGCTCCTCTCGGCCTCCCAGAGTGCTACATTACAGGCATGAGCCACCATGCCCAGCCTAAAATAATATTAAAAAGCCCCACTCTGTCTCTGTCCTTCTATATAAATTTAGTGTACATAAATGTAATTCTGAGTATTAATCAACAACTTGTTTTTTCCCATTTTGTTTAAATGGTTAGTTCAGGGATGCATTCTCTTAAGTCTTAATGAAATACCCCCATCAGTAAAACAAAAATTTTCCTTTGGGACTTACAGTATACAGTAAGTTTGTCTATAGTGCAGAACTTGAAATTGTTCCAACACAATTGATATATTAAGGAGCATTTGAAGCATGACACAAATTTTGCCTTTGCTTCTGCACAATTTTGTTTGTGAGAGACTGCAGTCAACTGTAGCCAGTTGAACCCAGCTGCATAGGAATTTATAAAACACACACATACACACATCTCACATATTAACATCTACCCCTTACCTCATTTCACTATGTGTATTATGAGCCACGCCCACCCACATCTGGTGTTAGAACTTGCAGATCCACTTCAGATAACCTTCCTTCTGCCATTTCATAATAACTCATAAGCTGCAACCCTTCTGCAAACTTCAGGTCTTTTTCAAGGTAAAGCACCATATTTATTGTAGTATTTATGTATTTCATAACTATTTCATGTGTATAAAACTGTAATACCATTTTATTAGTTTTCTATTTTTTTAATGTGTAACTGATGTTTCTGATTTTAACCCCATTTTCTCATGAACCATTTCTTTTAGTGCAACTTGGCATAGCATGGTAATTTAAGGAATGCAGATACTGTATTGTAGCAGAACTGACTGGATTTTAAATTCAGTTTTCCCTTTATATTTATATTTTGAAGCAACAAGTAAATACAATTCTCTATTTTCCATTTCCGTTCCTCCATCATTTTTGGATAGTGCTGTTAGCTTACCTGCAAGATCCTTGCCAGGAGGCACCTTGTAAGTTTCTGTTGACAGCAAGCCTGTCTGGATTTGCATGAACTGTGAGTGATTTCTTGAAAATCTACACTTTTGAGGCTGAGTACAAACCTGCAGGAGTCCTTCTTTAGGCCCAGAGACATTAGCTGATGGCACTCATGCATCCTTGTTTTTCCATGTTCTGAACAGGAGAGGAAGTTTAGCAGTCAGACACTTTCATATATGGTATTTGATAAATATGTATATAAAATATATGTAAGAAAAAATTTCCCAAGGATTTATTTTTATAAAATATTTTTATTTGTGCATCTGTCTCAGGCCAGGTGAATAATATCACATATAGGGTAATAGGCCTTTTACTCTGATCTTTATTGCTGGATTTGTCTTTAGAAACCCCTTATCTTATTCATTATGTGTCCTATGTTATGCGCAGCCATAGTGCATAAAAGATAAGTTGTAGAACAAAATGCTCAATGATTTGAGAGAAATATACTTTCTCATGAAAGCTGAGAAGGGATATTAATGTTTATTAACTTCTTCCTATGTGCTAGGAAGTTGGTTACCTTGTTCATTGATAACACATTCAGTCTATTCATTCAATCTTCACACTATCCCTTATTTTTATTCTATTCATTTTAACAGATGAAAAAACTGAAGCTCATAGAAGGTAATTATCCCTATTTCAAGTGGTAGAACATGTGTCAATTTGCATTCTTAGATAAGTAAACACAAAGATGGGATTAGATTTGCAAGACATTTGTCAGGGGAATGGCTGTGAAAGATAGAGGAGGAAGTAGGAGGGTCCTTGTACCATATTACGGGTCTGACACCCAGGAAAGGAGGAAGAAGGAAGGAGCACTTGTCAGGAAGAACCTCAGATTGAAGGCACTTCTGATAAATCTCTGCCAGGCTGGTGTTTTAGGAATCCCCAAGCTTATTACAGGAATCCTGCACTGTGTAGAAGTGGCCTAATTCTGATACCCCTCCCACGCCCAGTCATTGGTTGGGAGCAGCACTATGAAAGCATACAGGATATGAGCTCCAAGGTGGATCCAAAAGTGTGGACAGCAGTAGGCTGCCTATCAGCTGTGATCTTGCGAGCAGGTCCTCTTAAGGGGAGATGTGAGCAGTGCACCATGTTGGCCACTGCAGTTATAATTCAATCCAAGATCTGCCGAAGTCCAAGTTCTTCTCTACATGGGTAATGTACGGGGTTGGTGGGAGGGGTGGTTTTCCACTAATCAAAATAAATCCCTTAATACCTCTAAATAGCATACCCTAAGTAAAATTTGTGGATTTGCTATGCAGACACCAGCTTGCTTCATCTAAATTCCTTCTAAAGAGAAATTTTGTAGCTTCCACTTGAGAGAAAAGACAGAGAAGCAATTTTCTAAAGCAATGGTCCTTAACCTTGGCAGCACAGTAGAGTCATGGTAAGGAGCTAGTTAAAATGTCATATGGCAAGTCTGCACCTTAGATCAATGGAATAAAAATCTCTGTGAGGAGAACCTAGGCATCAGTACTTTTTAAAGGTTCGCAGGTGATTTCAATATACATCCCAAGTTGAGAGTTACTATTGTAAAGGATATTTGTCTGAAATGAAAAAGTAGACATCTTCGAACATTCTTCTATGTGTCAAGTCTCTCCATCAGTCCCACTCATGCTCACCCCAGAAAGTTACTTAACTAGTTGAGGTGTGTTCCCAGAAGCCATCTTAAAAATAACTTTTTGTATAATGGGAATCCTACAATATTTTTTAAAACCCAGTTTATATTTCCATTCACATTTCTGTTTTCAGTACACCTTAACTTGAATACATCTTTGTTTTTTGTTTTTTTTTTATTTTAAACAAAAAATAATGGTATACATTTTCACAAGGAAGGAGTCCATTTTCTGGGTACAGTCAGCAATGTGGCTTTTAGAAGTGTCCAGAACCACAGGGAATTCTGGATTTAGAGATAGAGAGACACCCTTCTATCTTCGTGTGGGAAGAAACATTGCCACATGTTTCTAAAAATGAAAGGAAAATGGTTAAGAAGATAGTATGGATTGAACTATGTTGAGATTGTGTTTTGTTTATAATCACATTTTCCCTTAAATTAATATTTATAAAAGTAAGACATATTTATTGTAAAACTTTGGGAAAAGAGACAATGGAGACAGATGAAAATGATATATTTATTGTTAATATTAGTTATTTGTCCAGAAATTCAAACTGGTCAATTTATTTGCCTTCAGTGTGCCTTAAATATGTTAGATTAAGATGGATTTAGCAAAGACTATCCATTGGTACTTGATGTCCATTGCAGTATTAATTTTTCTCTGTTATCAAGAAACAACAACAACAAAAACATTTTAAGATATCTACTCACTTGCAGTGGTGGACCGAGAATGGAGGTGGAACAATGGAAACTACCAGAAATAGGAAATAAAGGATTGCATGGTCTGCAGAAAAGTTAAAAACAATAAAACGAACTGAAAATCAATTTAAAAATTATCGCCATGCACTAACGCTAAATGAAATCAGTGATAAAATACTCCTCCCTGAAAAAAATATTTTACTGGTCTACATTCTAAACTTCAAATGATCACATTTTAAACCTCTCCTTTAATAACGATTGTATTCTGCATTGTATTCTGCTTACAGTATTCCCATTTATACTGTTGGCCTCTGACATACATGAAATCATCTACACATCTTGCTTTGCAAGTTTGTAAATATTTGGTGTCCTTCTAACTTGCTTAAGGCATGATTTGTTTCTAACCTCTCTGATAACACATATCCCTGAATTTAAACAATAGATTAAAAAATGGTGGCACAGCAAGTGTAAAGATAACAACTTGAACTTGAGTGATTTCAATCTTGTCATTCTATCTGAAGATTGGGAGTTTTTTGTGTTTACAGCATAAATGAGAAACAGTGCAGAATGTGAGGTGTAATATTTTTGTAAGTGCAAATTTTCCTTCTTACATGAAATATTTTATTGAATTTAAATAATATTTTTAAAACTGAAATTTCATATTTGTTAATTCCTTTAAGACTAAAAATGAATCAAGGACATAAAACATTGCATCAATATGACTTAAGAGGTTTAGATGTTCACTTTTATTAAAATTCACATTTAGAGGACATTGGCATAACATAATTATATAATACATACAATTTAATTGAAAAAATTTACTGTCTTTGTATCTTTTCTGGCTATTACTTGTCCCATTTCATGATTTTTACTGAAAATAATTTTGTTGTATAAAGTAGGAGATTGTTGAAAACAATCTGATCTCTGTGCCAAGTACTCCAGGTATGCTACTTCTCAACCGCTTTAGCAAAGAGCTTGAAGTCACTGTAATGGGCCCTGTCATCATGTCTGTATTTCCCTTTTTTTCCTTTCCTCCCTCTTCCTTTGCTTGCTTTTTGCACCCAATCTCCAAGGGCAGGAAATGTCTCCTAGAAAGCCTGAGGAAGAAAAGGAAGTATGCATATTCTACTGAGAAATGTAATCTTATTCGGGTTGTCAAAAGGAGATTGGTCAGATTAAATGGTCACTATATGTTATGAATTCTGTTCAGCAGAAATGTTTAAACATTTAATAGTGCTTTTATTGGTCAGCAAAGCGGGCATTTTCTTTTTGAAGATGCACAGTGGAAGGTGAAAGAGAAAATTAGGTGTCTGTAGATTTAGGGTATTAAAGCATAGAAGTGGACGAAGTATTAGTTTGGAGGAGTCATTTCACACCTGTACTCCTACTTTCAAATAGAATGACATCAAAGCACTCTTGGAGAGATATGAAGGCAGAACATATAAATGAAAAGAATTGGTGTTCTGAGTTCTCATTTCATTTCTGTACTAAACAATTGCATGAATAGGGCAAAGCACTGACCATCTAGATAAAAAGGAGGGACTGGGTAATAGGATCTATACAAGCCACCTTTTAAACTGATTTTAAGGTTATCTGAAAGATTTACTTGAGTTAGAAATGCGTTATTAAGAAATATCCTTTTTCCCTTTGTGCTTTTGTCAACAAGAAATTATTCCTGAAATCATATTGATTTTTCACTTAAATAAATGAAAGGAGAATATAATCAAGTAAAACATGATTTTAGGACCTATGACACTTTTGAAATAGAAATAATTGGTATGGTTAAAATGATCAGTATTATTATTATAATCTCACATTTTAATTTATTGAATTTTATTAAGCTACTTTTCAAACATACAAAAAGTTAAAAAGAATATTTTAACATCATTTTCTCAGTAATTTATAGAACATGTACAGAAAAAAAATCAGAAAAATATGGAAGACTAAAACAACATCATCAACAATTTGACCTAATTGACATGTATAGAATATCAGGGTCATTAAGGGCAAAATACACATTTGTCTAAAGAACTTTCACCAATATAGGCCATATGTTGGGCCGTAAAACAAGTCCTGATACATTTCATTTTGTTTTTCCTCTTTAACTTTTATCTTAAGTTCAGGGGTACAAGTGCAGGTTTGTTACACAGGTAAACATGTGTCATAGGGGTTTGTTGTACAGATTATTTCATCACCCAGGTATTAAGCCTAGTACCCGTTAGTTTTCCTGATCCTCTCCCTCCTCCCACCCTCCACTCTCAGTAGGTCCCAGTGTCTGTTGTTTCCCTCTACGTGCCCATGTGTTCCTGTCATTTACCTCACAAGTGAGAATATGTGATATTTCCTTTTCTGTTCCTGCATTAGTTTGCTAAGAATAACGGCTTCCAGTTCCATCCATGTCCCTGCAAAAGACATGAGCTTGTTCTTTTTTATGGCTGCATAGCATTCCATGCTGTATGTGTACCACATTTTCTTTATCCAGTCTTCTATAGGTGGGTATTTAGGTTGACTCCATGTCTTTGCTATTGTGAATAGTGCTGCAGGGAACATGTGCGTGCATGTGTCTTTATAATGGAATGATTTATATTCCTTTGGGTATATACCCAGGAATGGGATTGCTGGGTCAAATAGCATTTCTGTCTTTTGGTCTTGGAGGAATTGCCACACTGTCTTCCACAATAATTGAACTAATTTACACTCCCACCAACAGTGTATTATAAGTGTTCCTTTTTCTCCACAACCTCACCAACATCTGTTATTTTCTGAAGGTTAAAAAGAATATTACAGCTGGGTGTGATGGCAAACCCATATATTCCCCCAACACTCGTGAGGCTTAGGTGGGAGGATCCCTTGAGCCCAGGAGTTCAAGGTTGTAGTAAGCCATAATTGCACCTGTGCCTGGCCACTGCACTCCAGCCTGGGCAACATAGCAAGATCCTGCCTTAAACAAAAAAGAAGAATGTAACAAATGCTCATGTACCCAACACTCAATATTATGCAATTATATATTTGTCATTTTTGTCTCAGTACTTTTTTTTAAATACTTCAAGTTCTGGGGTACATGTGTACAATGTGCAGGTTTGTTACATAGGTATACATGTGCCATGTTGGTTTGCTACACTCATCAACTTGTCATTTACATTAGGTATTTCTCCTAATCCTATCCCTCCCCTAGTCCCCCACCCCTAGACAGGTCCCAGTATGTGATATTCCCCTCCCTGTGTCCATGTGTTCTCATTGTTCAACTCCCACGTATGAGTGAGAACAGGTGGTGTTTGGTTTTCTGTTCCTGTGTTAGTTTGCTGAGAATAATGGTTTCCAGTTTCAGCCATGTCCCTGCAAAGGAAAGGAACTCATCCTTTTTTATGGCTGCATAGAATTCCATAGTGTATATGTGCCACATTTTCTTTATCTAGTCTATCATTGATGGGCATTTGGGTTGGTTCCAAGACTTCGCTGTTGTGAACAGTGCTGCAATAAACATACATGTGCTTGTGTCTTTATAGCAGAGCGATTTATAATCCTTTGGGTATATACCCAGTAATAGGATTGCTGGGTCAAATGGTATTTCTAGTTCTAGATCCTTGAGGGATCACCACACTGTCTTCCACAATGGTTGAACCAATTTACACTCCCACCAATAGTGTAAAAGCATTCCTATTTTTCCACATCCTCTGCAGCATCTGTTGTTTCCTGACTTTTTAATGACCACCATTCTAACTGGTGTGAGATGGTATCTCATTGTGGTTTTGATTTGCATTTCTCTAATGACCAGTGATGATAAGAAGCATTTTTTCATAAGTTTGTTGGCTGCATAAATGTCTTCTTTTGATAAGTTTATATCCTTCACCCATTTTTTGATGGGGTTATTTGTTTTTTCTTGTAAATTTGTTTAAGTTCTTTGTAGATGCTGGATATTAGCCCTCTGTCAGATGGACAGATTGCAAAAATTTTTTCCCATTCTGTAGGTTTCCTGTTCAATCTGATCATAGTGTCTTTTGCTGTGCAGAAGCTCGTTAGTTTAATTAGATCCCATTTGTCAATTTTGCCTTTCGTTGCCATTGCTTTTGGTGTTTTAGTCATGAAGTCTTTGCCCATCCTTATGTCCTGAATGGTGTTGCCTAGGTTTTCTTCTAGGGTTTTCATGGTTTTAGGTCTTACATTTAAGTCCTTAATCCACCTTGACTTAATTTTTGTATGAGGTGTAAGGAAGGGATCCAGTTTCAGCTTTCTGCATATGGCTAGCCAGTTTTCCCAGCATCATTTATTAAATAGGGAATCCTTTCCCCATTGCTTGTTTTTGTCAGGTTTGTCAAAGATCAGATGGTTGTAGATGTGTGGTGCTATTTCTGAGGCCTCTGTTCTGTTCCATTGGTCTATATATCTGTTTTGGTACCAGTACCATGCTGTTTTGGTTAATGTACCCTTGTAGTATAGTCAGTCAGGTAGTGTGATGCCTCCAGCTTTGTTCTTTTGGCTTAGGTTTGTCTTGGCTATGCAGGCTCTTTTTTGGTTCCATATGAAGTTTAAAGTTTTTTTTTCAATTCTGTGAAGAAAGTCAGTGGTAGCTTGATGGGGATAGCATTGAATCTATAAATTACTTTGGGTAGCATGGCCATTTTCATGACATTGATTCTTCCTATCCATGAGCATGGAATGTTCTTCCATTTTTTTGTGTCCTCTTTTATTTCATTGAGCAGTGGTTTGTAGTTCTTCTTGAAGAGGTCCTTCACATCCCTTGTAAGTTGGATTCCTAGGTATTTTATTCTCTTTGTAGCAATTGTGAATGGGAGTTCACTCATGGTTTGGCTCTCTGTTTGTCTGTTATTGGTGTATAGGAATGCTTGTGATTTCTGCACATTGATTTTATATCCTGAGACTTTGCTGAAGTTGCTTATCAGCTTAAGGAGATTTTGGGCTCAGAAGATGGGGTTTTCTAAATATACAATAATGTCATCTGCAAACAGAGACTATTTGACTTTGTCTTTTCCTAATTGAATACCCTTTATTTCTTTCTCTTGCCTGATTGCCCTGGCCAGAACTTCCAACACTATATTGAATAGGAGTCGAGAGAGAGGGCATCCTTGTCTTGTGCCGGTTTTCAAAGGGAATGCTTCCAGTTTTTGCCCATTCAGTAAGATATTGGCTTTGGGTTTGTCATAAATAGCTCTTATTATTTTGAGATCCATTCCATCAATACCTAGTTTATTGAGTTTTTAGCATGAAGGGCTGTTTAATTGTGTTGAAGGCCTTTTCTGCATCTATTGAGATAATCGTGGTTTTTGTCATTGGTTCTTTTTATGTGATGGATTACGTTTATTGATTTGCATATGTTGAACCAGCCTTGCATCCCAGGGATGAAGCTGGCTTGATCATGGTAGATAAGCTTTTTGATGTGCTGCTGCATTCAGTTTGCCAGTATTTTATTGAGGATTTTTACATCGATGTTCATCTGGGATATTGGCTTAAAATTCTCTCTCTCTCTCTCTTTTTTGTTTCTGCCAGGTTTTGGTATCAGGTTGATGCTGGCCTCATAAAATTAGTTAAGGTGGAGTCTCTCTTTTTCTATTGATTGGAATACTTTCAGAAGGAATGGTACCAGCTCCACTTTGTACCTGCAGTAGAATTTGGCTGTGAATCCGTCTGGTCCTGGGCTTTTTTCTTTTGGTTGGTAGGCTACTAATTACTGCCTCAATTTCAGAACCTGTTATTGGTCTATTCAGAGATTTGACTTCTTCCTGCTTTAGTCTTGGTAGGGTGTTTGTGTTCAGGAATTTATCCATTTCTTCTACATTTTCTAGTTTATTTGTGTAGAGGTGTTTATAGTATTCTCTGATGGTAGTTTGTATTTCTGTGGGATCAGTGGTGATATCCCCTTTATCATTTTTTATTGCATCTATTTAATTCTTCTCTCTTTTCTTTTTTGTTAGTCTGGCTAGCAGTCTATCTATTTTGTTGATCTTTTCAAAAAACCAGCTTCTGGATTCATTGATTTTTTTGAAGGGTTTTTTTGTGTCTCTATCTCCTTCAGTTCTGCTCCGATCTTAGTTATTTCTTGCCTTCTGCTAGCTTTTGAATTTGTTTGCTCTTGCTTCTCTAGTTCTTTTAATTGTGATGTTAGGGTGTCGATTTTAGATCTTTCCTGCTTTCTCTAATGGGCATTTAGTGCTACAAATTTCCCTCTACACACTGCTTTAAATGTGTCCCAGAGATTCTGGTACATTGTGTCTTTGTTCTCATTGGTTTCAAAGAACATCTTTATTTCTGTCTTCATTTTGTTATTTACCCAGTAGTAATTCAGGAGCAGGCTGTTCAGTTTCCATGTAGTTGTGCAGTTTTGAGTGAATTTCTTAATCCTGAGTTCTAATTTGTTTGCACTGTGGTCTGAGAGACAGTTAGTTGTGATTTCTCTTCTTTTTCATTTGCAGAGGAGTGTTTTCCTTCCAACTATGTGGTCAATTTTGGAATAAGTGTAATGTGGTGCTGAGAAGAATGTATATTCTGTTGATTTGGGGTGGAGATTTCTGTAGATGTCTATTAGGTCCACTTGCTCCAGAGCTGAGTTCCAGTCCTGGATATCCTTGTTAATTTTCTGTCTCATTGATCTGTCTAATATTGACAGTGGGGTGTTAAAGTCTCCCACTACTATTGTGTGGGAGTCGAAGTCTCTTTGTAGGTGTCTCAGAACTTGCTTTATAAATCTGAGTGCTCTGTATATTTAGGATATATATTTAGGATATATATCTGAGTGCATATATATTTAGGATAGTTAGCTCTTCTTGTTGCATTGATCCCTTTACCATTATGTAATACCCTTCTTTGTCTCTTTTGACCTTTGTTGGTTTAAAGTCTGTTTTATCAGAGACTAGGACTGCAATCCCTGCTTTTTTGGGCTTTCCATTTGCTTGGTAAATCTTCCTCCATCCCTTTATTTTGAGCGTATGTATCTTTGCATATGAGATGGGTCTCCTGAATACAGCACATTGATGGGTCTTGACTCTTTATCCAATTTGCTAGTCTGTGTCTTTTAACTGAGGCATTTTGCCCATTTACATTTAAGGTTAATATTGTTATGTGTGAATTTGATCCTGTCATTATGATGCTAGCTGGTTATTTTGCTCGTTTGTTGATGCAGTTTCTTCATAACGTTGATAGTCTTTAAAATTTGGCATGTTTTTGCAGTGGCTGGTACTGGTTTTTCCTTTCCATATTTAGTGCTTCCTTTGGGAGCTCTTGTATGGCAGGCCTGGTGGTGACAAAATCTCTCAGCATTTGCTTGTCTGTAAATGATTTTATTTCCCTTCGCTTATGAAGCTTAGTTTGGCTGGATATGAAATTCTGGGTTGATAATTTTTTTCTTTAAGAATGTTGAATATTGGCCCCCTCTCTCTTCTGGCTGATAGGGTTTCTGCAGAGCGATCCACTGTTATTCTGATGGGCTTCCCTTTGTGGGTAACCCAACCTTTTTCTCTGGCTGCCCTTAACATTTTTTCCTTCTTTTCAACCTTGGTGAATCTGACAATTATGTGTCTTGGGGTTACTCTTCTTGAGGAATATCTTTGTGGTGTTCTCTGTATTTCCTGAGTTTGAGTGTTGGCCTGCCCTGCTAGGTTGGGGGAAGTTCTCCTGGATATTATCCTGAAGAGTATTTTCCAGCTTGGTTCCATTCTCCCCGTCACTTTCAGGTATATCAATCAAATGTAGATTTGGTCTTTTCTCTTAGTCCCATATTTCTTGAAGGCTTTGTTCATTTTTTTTTCACTCTTTTTTCTCTAAGCTTGTCTTCTTGCTCTATTTCATTACGTTGGTCTTCAATCACTGATAATCGTTTCTTCCACTTGATCAATTCAGCTATTGGAACTTGTGTATGCTTCACGAAGTTGTTGTGCTGCATTTTTCATCTCCATCAGGTCGTTTATATTCATTGCTACACTGGTTATTCCAGTTAGCAATTCATCTAACCTTTTTTCAAGGTTTTTAGCTTTCTTGCATTGGATTAGAACATGCTCCTTTAGCTCAGAGGAGTTTGTTATTACTCAGCTTCTGAAGCCTACTTCTGTCAATTCGTCTAACTCAGTCTCCATCCAGTTTTTTTCCCTTGCTGGCAAGGAGTTGTGATCCTTTGGAGAGAAGAGGCATTGTGGTTTTTGGAATTTTTAGTCTTTATTCACTGGTTTCTACCCATCTTTGTGGTTTTATCTACCTTTGGTCTTTGATGTTGGTGACCTACTGGTGGGGTTTTGATTTTTATGTCCGTTTTGTTGATGTTGATGGTATTCCTTTTTGTTTGTTAGTTTTCCTTCTAACAGTCAGGCCCCTCAGCTGCATGTCTGAAGGAGTTTGCTGGAGGTCCACTCCAGACCTGGTTTACCTGGGTATCACCAGCAGAGGCTGCACAACAGCAACTATTGCTGCCTGATCCTTCCTCTGGAAGCTTTGTCCCAGAGGGGCACCCACAGATGCCAGCCAGAGCTCTCCTGTATGAGGTGTCTATCAGCCCCCACTAGGAAGTGTCTCCCAGTCCAGCTACATGGGGGGTCAGGGACCCACTTGAGGAGGCAGTCTGTCTGTTATCGGAGCTCGAACGCTCTGCTGGGAGGATCACTGCTTTCTTCAGAGCTGTCAGGCAGGGACATTTAAGTGTGCTGAAGCTACTCCCACAGCTGCCCCTTACCCCGGGTGCTCTGTCCCAGAGAGATGGGAGTTTTTTTCTATAAGTCCCTGACTGGGGCTGCTGACTTTTCTTCAGAGATGCCCTGCTCACAGAGGTGGAATCTAGAGAAGCAGTTGGCCTTGCTAAGCTGTGGTGGGCCCTGCCCAGTTCAAATTTCCCAGTGGCTTTGTTTACACTGTGATCATAAAACTGCCTACTCAAGCCTCAGCAATGGCAGACACCCCTCCCCCACCAAGCTTGAGCGTCCCAGGTCAATCTCAGACTGCCACACAAGCAACGAGCATTTCAAGCCAATGGATCTTAGCTTGCTGGGTTCCGTGGGTGTGAGACCCACTGAGCCAAGCACCAGAGGGAATCTCCTGGTCTGCCAGTTGTGAAGACTGTGGGAAAAGTGCAGTATCTGGGCAGGAGTGTACTGTCCTCCTAGTATAGTCTCTCACAGCTTCCCTTGTCTAGGAAAGGGAAATCTCCTGACCCCTTGCACTTCCTGGGTGAGGCGATGCCCTGCCCTGCTTTGGCTCACCCGCCATGGGCTGCACCCACTGTCCAACCAGTCCCAATGAGATGAACCAGGTACCTCAGTTGGAGATGCAGAAATCACCCACCTTTTGTGTTGATCTTGCTGGGAGCTGTAGACCAGAGCTGTTCCTGTTTGGCCATCTTTGCCTCAGTACTTTTGATGAAATAAATTATAGTGGTCACTGTTGAATCGTTGCTTATTTCTTCCTCATCCTGTTTTCTTCTTCCTTTCTTTTTCTTTCCTTAGGTGTAAATACCATCTTGCATTGCATTTTATGATTGTCATTGTCATGTATGTTGGAGGCCACTGATTTTGGAGTCTAGCCAAGTAGACTATGGCTTTAGCTGTGCTTAGTACTTTGCATTTTGTGTTCATAGACATAATATCAGACTCCTCTAAGACATTTCAGATACTCTCACCTTAAATTGTCTTTGGGACATTTGGCCTCCCATTTCAGGCAGAGCCACTGCGGCATCAACCAACTCTCTTTGGGAAGCCAACAACCTTCACACACATGCAAATGTGTGGTGCTCACTGTGTCCTCCCTCACTTCCTGCCTCTAGGCTTCTTGTTGAAGACAAGGAGGTAATTCTGTGGTCTCAAGCAGGCACAATCCAAAGTATGTGAGAGGAGTGGGTAGTGGAAGAGGAAAAGACATGTGTGGTAAAACTTCAACCAACAGGAGATGGGAACCTGCAAAAATTTTTTTTCTTTCCTCCATGGATCGAGAAGTCATTTAGATAGCTTCTCAGATGACAGTCTTATGATCAATCAGTCATACTTAATACCATGTAGTCCTTTTTCTTCTCTGTTTCATTATTCTTTTCCCTGATTTGTATTCCATTACTATGCCTCATGGAATAAGGTAGTAGCCTTAATCATACATGGGAGGCCATATTAAAACAGAGATATTAATCTTGTTCCAGCTCTGTCCTTTTGGCTTTATCTTTCTACATTTTATCAATCATTGCTGTGTGTTTGGAGCAGAGGGTGGTATAGCTTACTTTTCCATCTTGACTAGAAGTCATTGATTCCATCTTTGCAACTGTTTTCTTGCTGAAAACATCAACATTACTTTTGTATTCACCAAGAAATCTTTAGCATCTGTTATATGTATATTTCATATTACTTGTAAAACAATACAAACTCTTATCAGAAAGCCTGATATAAAAGAGGAATATGATGAATATTAGTTTCTTTGCTGTACCTTTTTTAAAAATGTGATTCCTGAAGTCTCAGTACTTGAACAAAGTTTTCTATGCTTTGTGCTTATTTACATCACTATAGATAACTCATGTTGGATCCCTGCCCACCACCCCCAGCCCCATATCTGTTTTTCTTCCACGATTGTGAATGTGAGGGCAGGAATTGTGTCTTATTCATTTTTGCAAACAGGACAGTGCTAGGCCCAGTTGACTCTCAGTTAATGAATGTGGAATATATTTGACATTTGGTGTGTAGATAGATAAACAGGCTTAAATGTTTTAGATATTTAGAAGCAATTCTCTTGGTTTCTTCCCTGAATATAGAACACTCTGAGTCCATGGTTAGCAGTTCACTGTTGTGATGGCATGTGTGATTCCTGCTGTTAAATGTGGCTGTTCAAGCAAGTGTACTCACCTATGTGATAGTTTGTCTGGAAAAGGGAATACTCTATAAATAGCATACTTCCAGTAATTCAGGATGTAATTTAAAATAAGGACTCTATAATATCATGAGAAAAATGTCTCATTAGCAATAAAAGCTATTAATGTCACTCTTCCTAATGAAGGATTGCAACAGCATCCCTCATTAGACTAGAAAGGGCAAGAGTGATGCAATCAATGCTGCAGATTAAGAGTTGTTGAATGATCAGATGGATGTTGGGGGTGAGAAAAAAAGCTACAATCCAAAATGACTTCAAGGTTTAGAGTTTGGATAGTATGAGAAGATGATTATGTCATTTTATGAGACAGGGAAATAGGAGAAAGGAAGGATGTGTAAGGGAAGTAGATGAGCTTTGTTTTTACTGACTTTAGTATAAAGATTACTTATTCATTCTGGAAATAATTCATTCAATTTATATTGAACACCTATTATTACTAGACATTGTGGTAAGCTGTAAACACACAAATGGCATTCTCCATCAGACATTCTTTTAAAGAACTCATGTCATCAAATTTTCAGGCAACTCAAATGCAAGTGAAATAATGATTGTGTTAGACAAAATAATATAAATTAAAAATGTGTATTGAAAAAACAATAATAATACAAAATTAAATGGATGAAATGTAATAATAATAAATACGTGTAAAAAAAGCTTGATGTCTGTTGATGGTATGCCATGACTGCCTCTCCCCACAACACATCAAATATGTTCTTAAGCAATGGTAATACAAACATACAATGAAACAAGAGATGTAGAATATGTTTGTCAAATAAATGCATAAATAATAACCCATTGAAAACTTTTCATATCACATCTAGTGTATTGTGGTCAACTCCAGGTGCTACATTTTTAGCACTAGTCAACCACAGCCTCATTCTATGTTATGTGGAGAAGCATTAGAGGACTTAGTCATATGCAGGAGAAGAGTTGCTTTGAAGTATTTAGCCTCACTGCCCAATGGCAATGTCAAAACTGAGGCCGTTTTAGCAGAAATACTAGGGAGGAAGATTTGGCACAATACTAGATGTAATAGTTCGATAACCAAAGTTATCCTGTGTGAATGAGGGCTGTTCACACAAAGGCTGGATGAAGGGAAGTAGCAGAAAGAGCTCCTGTTAAAAGGCAGTGGACTTTATCACTTGTGTAAGTTTTGCAGCTATTAATATTCTAGTAGCCAATCATTACTTCATTCTAAATCTAAAGAAAAAAAAAGAAACAAAGGGTTCAATGTTTTTTACCAACTTAAAGACTGAGTAGGAGAAAGGAGATCCATAAAATGACTTGGTGCTTCAATGCTCTAGGTTTATTTTTAATCAGTTGTGCTGCAGGGTGACATTCTCACAGAAGAGGAAAATAAAGAATATATTAATTTACAAGGCTAGCTGGAGAAAAGGTTATTATGGTTGCATACAGATAAAAAGGTCACATTTAAAGAATCTTCTATCCTAGGATATTTAAAAAGTAGAATTCCTTTAATAAGAGTCTGTTAGGAGAGCATGATGGCATGTACAATTTAACTCTTTGTAGTTCAGCTGGATTTGAAAAGCTAAATGAATATTTGTGAGTGGATGTCACTGATTTTTGCAAATGTTCACAATCATTCATTCATTTATTCATCAAAGACCAGGAAATAAGGAATAAAAACAAAGTATTTTTTATGAAATAAATTGTAGTGGAAGAGACAGTAAGTAGACAGATGACTCAAATGCAATGTGATAAGTGATACATTTGAAGCAGTGGTAGCCCTAAGTAAGAATGATCTATTCTGCATGGGGTCTGAGGATTTATATGATTGCTCTTGAAGAATGAGATTCAGATGAAGCAGGGAGAGAAGGATATTTAAGTATAAGGGAGCAGTATGTGTAAATGGACAAAGATACAATATACTAAAATCTAAGTGTTATCAGAGTTCTGTATGTAATTCAATATAACAACACCATCACCCAACAGTTATTTCCTGTTTATTTATGATGTCCAAGGAACTTGTCTAAGCATGTTATATGTATTAACTAATCTAATCTTCAGAACAATCTGGAGCAGTCTGGCTGCAAAGTCTTTATCTTTACATACTTTCTTGAAGAGATTGCTCCATTAACATGCTAATTGACCTGATCTGATCACAGTACAATGTATGTATTGAAATATCCCTTTGGACCCCATAAATTTGTAAAATTATTATGTATCAATTAAAAAAATAATTTTTTTTAAAAAACAATGCTTGCAAGAATTAAAAAAAAAGGAATGACGTGAGAGTTTTGGTAGAATGGGAGATTAAATAGGTTTGAACCAAGCGAAAGTGGGACCCTGGGGCATACCTGAATGTTTACATGTTGTTGCTGGAAGGGAAAGTTGTTACAAATACTTTAGAAAGCAGTTTGCTATTACCTTGTAAAACTGAAGAGCTTAAACCTTCGTTTAGACACAGCTGTATTCCTGGATCTAATCCCCAGAGAAGGTCTTGCACGTGTGCTCCAGGAGACAAGTAGAAGGGCAACGTGTTTGTAATAGCACACACAAAAAGCAAACATCCAAATGTTCATCATGGCACATCAACAGTAACAGTGAAACAGGTAAAAACATTATACTATATGTGCATAATGGAACACTAAAACGGCAAAAATGAATGAGCTACAGTGACAATATAGATCTCAGGAAGATTATACTGAGCAAAAAAAGTAAATTGCAGAATACCTAAAGAACATATGTAAAGAATATGCTAAAATTAAACAACATATTGCTTAGAGATACAAACGTGGCAAATGATAACAATAATGGAATATGCTTTTTAAAAATTTCTAATTGTGTTTCTTCTGAAGGGAGGACAGGGGAATGAAATATGGTAGGAATGTATAGGTAGATGTCATAGTAATGTTTGATTCACTGTGCTATTTGTATGTTTTTTTGTATCTACTCATAAATTACCACATTCCATGAATTTTTAAGCGTATTTTATTTTTAATATTTCTGAAATTGAGATGCATCTTACTAAATTGATAATTATACTATAAAGCATAATAGTGTTTTTCTTCCTTGTTTACAGAAAGTAATGCAGTGCCTCATAATCAAGGGCTTCTTAGATCAGTGAAATACAGTAAGGAAAACTAGTTTAATAAAAGAATACCCTTGGAGTAATTCTGATAATGCCCTTGAAACTATGTAGAAAATATATACAGAAATGGTGGGATATGAGACCAGTGTGGTGGATGGGGCCAGATCACTGAGAAGGTTGTATGCCATTGTTGAGGTTATGCATCCTATAAGAAATAGGAAGCTATTAAAGAGTTTTATGTAAGAAAATAACATGATAGGTTTATATGACTTTATGAAGAAAAATAATATAATACATTTCTATAACTTTTTAGAACTTACTTACGATATTGTCCTAAATTATTTTCATTCCATGCTTGCATTTATATTTCTAAGCAATAAATATTATTTTTTAAAAAACAACAGTCAACTTGAGTGACAATGAATGCAACATTGGTTTTTAAAATAATATGAATCCCACATTGGACTCTTATGTCATCTGACAGAAAACAGGCACTCCCAGGACTTTGGGATGCTGAGGCAGGTGGATCACATGAGGTCAGGAGTTTGAGACCAGCCTGACCAACATGATGAAACCCCATCTCTACTAAAAATACAAAAGCTAGCTGGGTGTGGTTGTGGGTACCTGCAATCCCAGCTACTTGGGAGGCTGAGGCAGGAGAATTGCCTGAACCTGGGAGGTGAAGGTTGCAGTGAGCCACAATCACACTACTATACTCTAGCCTGGGTGACAGAGTGAAACTCCATCTCAAAAAAAAAAAGAAAAAGAAAAAAGTTACCCTCTCTCTATGCTCTGAGGTATTAGAGGAGGCCTTGTGAAGAGGCTTTACCATCACCCATTAGTAATGAGGCCACTTCCACCACAGTGTCAGGATAGACCATGTGGTCTATACAAAAAGATATAAACACTATGAATAAGTCAAAATAGAATTCTAAAATAATGTTCAAATAACCAACAGGACACTACAAAAAAGAAAACAGAGAAATGGAAAGCAGAACAGTCAACAAAAAATAAAATAGTAGACTTAATGCCTAAGATACCAATAATTATTTTAAACGTAAATGATCAAAATATACCAATTAAAGAGTAGAGATTAGTAGAATAAATTAAAAACATGACTAAGCTATATGTTTTCAACAAAAACTCACTTTAAATATAATGATATAGAGAGGTTGAAAGTAAAATGATGGAAAAAGATATATCATGAAAACATCAGTCAAAGGAAAGCAAGAGTGTCTACATTAATATTAGTTAAAGAAAACTTCAGGGCAAAAAACATTACCAAAACCAGTGAGTGACACCATGTTATGATAAAAGGGTTAATCCACCAAAACACATAGCAATCCTAAATGTAAATGTACCAAAACAACAGAATGGAAAAAAACAAAACTAAGTGGAGGAAAAACTGACAGAACTGAAAGGAGAAATAGAAAATTTTGTTATTTTAGTTGGCAACTTCTACATCCCTCTCTCAGTAATTGATAGAGATATCTATACAGAAAGTCATAATTCAACGCCATTAACTAATTCAACACTATTAATAGGATCTAATCGATATTCATAAAGCACTGAATTCAACTATAGCAGAATATATATATATTTTTTCAAGTGCCCACAGAACATATACCAAGATAGACCATATCCCGGGTCATAAAACAAACTTTAGCAAATATAAAATAATTGAAGCCATGTAGAATGTTTTACCTAACCTCAATGAAACAAACTATAAATCAGTCACAGAAAGATAATAGAAAAATCTCCAAACACTTGGAAACTTAACAACACACTTCTTAATAATCTATGGGTCAAAGAGGAATCTCAAGGGAATTTAAAAATACATTAAACTAAATGGAAAGATAAATATATAAAAATTTGTGGGACACAGCTAAAGCAGTGCTGAAAGGGAAATGAATATAAAAGGGGGAAAAGTCTCAAATAAATAGTTTAACGTTTTATCTCAAGAAAAGATAAAGAAGAGAGAAATAGGCCCAAAGCAAGCAGAAGAAAAAAAATGAAATAGAAATCCTTAAAATTAAAACCAGAAAACTAGTAGGAAAATCAATGAAAATAAGACCTAATTCAATAAAATGGATAAATATCCAGGAAGACTGACAAAAAGAGAAAGGCAACACATGTTAGCAATGTCAGGAATCAACAGGAGAGGGAAATCCAGGTTTTGATTGTACCTTATAATGAAGTCAGGGACATAAGAGAATATCACGGCACTGTAGTCCACAGTGTGGGCAGTCAGATATATGGGGCTCTGAAGACACAGACAGATTGGCCAAAGCTAAGGAAGTGTGACAAGGATAACTTGAATTCCAGGGCAAACTCTAAAGTCCTTAGGTGAACAGAAATGCTATTGAGTGATTTAATATTTGTAAGAATATAGCTCATTTCCGTGAATTTGATTTCCATTGCACACAGACAAGACTTCTAACTTCTCAAGAAGTTAGTTAGAAGTCTTGTCTGTGTGCAATGGAAATTTAAGGTCATTTACTTTGCCTTGATTGTCAAAATATTTTAGCATCTATATAACTACTTTCACATTATCTGTTTTTAGACCTCCACTGTGAAAACCCTGGGCATATGTATTAATTATGCCATTTTATTTTTTGTATTTCTGATGCTTTGACATCTGAGACCTTGCTGATCCTAATGAGACTGCCCCTCCCAGGACTAGCAAATTCCTAGAAATGATAAACAGCTTGCCTAGGAGTGTGTTTTTCATATGCAGACCAACCAATCCACAGCCCGTACCTCAACCACCACCTTTACTAAGCTCTCATACTCTGGAACACTATCCATGTGCACGGCCTAATTACCCCAAGGCCAGGTACCCAGACAACTAGAGACAGCACTTATGCCCCATAGCCTGCTGAAATTATTCAAACTAGGAAATAGTAAGCCCACTTAACCTGACTTGTCTGTTTCTTATTGTGGAAACCACAATAGAGGCTCCTTCCCTGTTTTCCCCTTGCTCCTCTCTGCCTCCTCACTGACCCTGGCATTTCCCCATATGGCTCCTTCCCCATGATGTGCTCCCTTCCTCTGGGAACTGTGAGTAACAAACTATCTTTTCAATGGCAATTATTTCCTGGTCTACTGGCCTCATCATACCTAAATAATAACAAAACCCTGTATTGTAAAATAATATCCCTACAGGATATTGCAGAGTGGGACATAGGTGTGCTATGGGTCTTGGGACTTGCTTTCACGATGAATGTTGTATTTAGTTTTCTGCATATATAATTTTGTTCAATCAAAGATAGGCAGAATGTTTGGCAAGCGTTAGCTGTGCTGAACTTCTCAGAGCTGAATTAGAAAACCTTTATTTGTGGCTTTTATGACATTTAATGGTGACTGCATAAAAATCACTCACATTATGAAGTTTAACAGTAACATTTTTCAATGCCTTATCTTATTTGAACCACACAATGCTATTGTAATTCTTATTTTATAGCTGAGGAAATTGAAGCCCAGGGAGCTTGTGAATTGCTCAAGTTCACGGCTTCCAAGTTTCAGAAATGTGACTATTCCTAAATCAGTGCTTTGTATATTCTAAATTATATCATTGTATTCAATAGGAGTAATGATTCTCAACAAGAAATAGTGCAAAAAAAGCCTATGGAGGCCCAAAATTCAGAATAAATTTCAGAAACATAATACTATGGCCTCAGTTTTAAGATTCATTTATCTAATTTTCCTTTACCTAAGGTTCTTTTAACTACTTTGCTGCCTTTTGCCATTTACCCAATAGATCCATATTATTTTTAATTCAGCTTTTTATTTTGATATAATTGTAGAGTCACCTGAATTCTTAAGAAATAATACAGAGTCCATGTACCCTTTGTGCAGTTTCCCCCAATGGTAACATCTTGCAAAACTATAGTACATTATTACAAATGTGATATTGACATTCATGCAGTCAAGATACACAACATTTTTGTTTTTTAAAATTTTATTGCACCTTTATTCATTATTGCCAAAAATGGGAAGAAACATAGGTAACTAATAATGAGTGAACAAACAAGCTGTGAAACATCCGCATATTAGAATATTATTCAGGAATAGAAATAAATAAGCTGTCAAGCAATGAAAAGACATGGAGAAACTTTAAATGCATATTGCTGCGTGTAAAAAGCCAGTGAAAAGATTAATGGTTGTCCAGGGCTGAAGGAGAGGGGAGGGATAAATAGGTGGATCACAGGGGGAGATAGAGAACATTTTCACTACCACAGGATCCCTCATGTTGCCTTTTTATATCCATACCCACATCCTTCTAGCCCCTACCGTCTCCTTAACCACTAGCAACTACTAATCTGTTCTCCATTATTTCTGTAACATATATTTTTTTGCCATTTCAAGAATGTTATATAAATGAAAACATGTAGCATATAACCTTTTGGAATTTTTTCCCACTCAGGATAATTCTCCAGAGATTCATTCAGATTGCTGGGCTCATTGGTAGTTTGTTCCTTTTTATTGCTGAGTAGTATCCCATAGTATGAATGTACCACAGTTTGTTTAACCATTCACTCACTGAAGGACATAAGAGTTGTCTGGTGTTTGGTTGTCACAAATAAAGCTGCTACAAACATTCATATACATGTTTTGTGTAAATATAAACTTTAATTTTTTCTAGAATAAATGCCCAGGAGTGCAATTGCTGGGTTGTATTTTTGTTGCTTGTATAGTTTATATAACAGGCTGTCAAACTGTTTTCTAGAGTGGCTGTATCATTTTACATCTCCACCAGCAACACACAAGTGACTCAATTTCTCCATAATCCACCAGTGTTTGATGTTGTTACTGGTTTTTATCTTAATCCTTTTGAGAGACATATAGTGATATTTACTGTAATTTTAATCTGCATTTTCTTAATGGCTAGTGATGTTGGATGTCTTTTCACATTCTTGCTGGCCATTTGTATATCCTCTAAATTGAAATGTCTTGTCAGTTCTTTTCTCCATTTTCTAGATTTTTGTTTCTGTTGAGTTTTGTGAGTTTTTTAAAGCATATTTTAGATACTAGTCTTTTATCAAATATGTGGCTTGCAATTTTTTCCCCAGTCTATAACTTGTCTCTTCATCTTCTTCACATAGGCTGTCATAGAACAAAAGTTTTTAATTTTGATGAAGACTAATTTATCAATTTTCCCTTTTATGGATTGTGCTTTTGGTGTTTAAAACTCTGCCTGGCTGAGATCCAAAGAGTTTGTCCTATGCTTTTTCTAGAAGTTTTATATTTTACATTTACTTTCATGATGCATCTTGAGGGAATTTTTGTATGAGGTGTGAGACTTGGGTAGAGTTTTATTTATTTTCTTTTGTCTAGAGATATCCAAATGCTGTAGAACCATTTGTTAAAATGGCAATCTGTCCTCCATTGAATTGTCTTTGTACCATTATCATAAATCAACTGGGCATCTACTTCTGGGTCTCTGTTCATTGACCTTTGGACCTCTTCCAATTGTTTCTTATGTTCACAACTCTGTAATTAAATTAAAATCTTACAGATAGTCATGGCTATAAAGATAAATACAAACTATTGTTAATGAAAAGATCTACATTTGGAAAAATAGGTAATTTATTTCCTATGCATTGTTTAATGCTCCACTTGCCAAGTCCCAGGTAAAATGCCTTTCAGGGTCAGGGAGATCCTGCAAATCCTTGTATAATACAGAACACCACTTCTGTAATAAGCTCTGAATGTTAATCATGTGGCTGTTAGACTCTTTCTAGAGAGGCCTCTGATGGGTTGGAACAGTTAATCCTCATGAGCTGTATATCAGGTGACCTCTAAGGGAAAGGAGAGGAGATAGTAGAGATATTTCACCTCCCATCTAAAATTGGGAGGCCTGAAATTTCCCTGGCAAACTCAGCACACATCTTCAGTGGGAGTGATATCTGAAGTATGTTCAGTGGAGGTGAAAAAATAATATTCTATGTGTGAGGGCATTCTGGAGCCCCACCTTCAACTTAGAGGTTCTTCCTCTCATTCCCAAAGAATGACTCTCTTGTCTTCCTAGAATTAAAAAAGAGTTAATATTTTTTGAGCAAGTTTTGTTGAAAAAACGGAGGGGCTAAGCCATTTTGTAAACAGGCAAGACAGAAAACATGTTTGGACTGGATTGACAAATGACATTATAAAAATTCCCATGGGAGTAATTTTTATCTCTGAGATCTACCAATTAAATTACCTAAACCTTTTATCCAAAGATTTCATGCCCTGAATTTTAATGTTTGCTAGTGCATTATAGAACACAACCAGAGCTTTCTTTGCTGTTTTCTCTTGTGGTAAATGCTGCACAGAATGACAGGATCATGTGGATTAACTCTGTCTCTCTCTCTCTCTCTCTCTCTCTCTGTCTCTCTCTTTCCCTCTCCTGTGCTCTCTCTTGATAGACACACAGATAGATGGTGCTGTAATTTGTACCTAAGTTCCTTTCACTTGTCAACCTTACAAGAAGAAAAATATGACTGCTGCCTTATTTCAGGAGAAAGAAATCTAACAATATGACCTGTTTTATGTCTTTTAATAAAAAGCAATATATTTGGGTTGCAAAGGAGACCTTCAAAAATAACATAACATTACCCTTCATATTTTGTCAGTAATTCATTATCTCATTCTTTCTTTGTAAGTTTAGAAGTCTTAACTTCTTGGTCTTGTTCATCTCAGATATTAGTGTTCTTGCTTTAGCTATTGCAGTTTGAGAGGGTCACTCAAATAGCCACAGGTTCTCTTAGTGCTAACAGATACTAATAAATAAATCAAATGGTATTGATTTTATGTCCCCAGTGTGCATAATTAAGATCACTCCTCTTACTTGCTGGTGTTGTAAATACGGAGCATTGGCTAAAGGTGAGTCCAACTGAGAATGCATGAATAAGTGCACAGCTTTGTCAGCACTGTCAGAAAAAAAGAAACAACTGAAGGTACCTATTTTTGTTGTTGTTGTTATAGTTTTTTGGCTTTTATTTTAGATACAGGGGTACTTGTGTAGATTTGTTACATGGGTGTATTACATCCAGGTAGTGAGCATAATACCCAATAGGTGGTTTTCAACTCATGTCCCCCTGTCTCTTTCCCTTCACAGTGTCTATTGTTTCCATCTTTATGCCTATATATGCTCAATGTTTAACTACCACTTACAAGTGAGAACATGTAGTATGGTAACTGGTTTCCTGTTCCTTCATTAATTCATTTAGGATTATGGCCTCCAGCTGCATTCATGTTGCTGCAAAGGATATGAATTCATTCTTTTTTGTGGCTGCGTAATATTCCATAGGGTATATGTACCATGCTTTGTCCAATCCACCATTGCTGGGCATCTAGATTGATTCCATGTCTTTGCTATTGTGAATAGCATGGCAACGACCATATGAATGCATGTATCTTTTTGGTATTATAATCTATTTTCCTTTGGATGTATACCCAGTAATGGGGATTGCTGGGTCTGCTGGGTCAAATGGTAGCTCCATTTTCAATTCTTTGAGAAATCCTCAAACTGCTTTCCACAGTGGCTGAACTAGTTTACATTCCCACCAACAGTGTATAAGCATTTGAAGGTGCATATTTAATAGCCATATGGGTTGGTAGTGTCACTTATCTCATTAAACAAATAATTTTCTTCTGTGTTCTCCAAATCAATGTTTAGTTTTTTTCTGTTACCTAGTACAGAAAGAGAAATGTGTCATTGGATAGTGTGAGTATATATACTCTAAATTAACATTTGAGGGTATAAGGATATTTCTAATAAAAGCAAGTGAAAAACCATGAATTCTTACTGATGGAGTTATTTCAGTATTAAGTTTCTTACATTAACATGGCTTTTTTTTTGTTCAGTGTGGATTTGACTAAAGGGTGTTTGAGTTTTTAAGAATTTAACATGAGTAAGTCAATATAATGATTTATTTGACCCTTACACAGCAGTCTTTAATAACAAAAAACACACACACACACACACTTTTTTTGAGTGCCTGCCTGGAGTTAAAAACAGAACAGTGCTTATTGGTGTTGGGGGGACAAGGTTGTGTGTTACAGCAGCCCTCTCCTGATAGCTAAATGCAGGAGATGCAAAATTGTGGGGGTTTTTGGTTTTGTCTATGACTTCTCTCTTCCAGTGTTACTGCCCAGTTACCTGGATGCTAGGTCACTTGGCATGCCTACACTCTGGGTTGCGTCAATCCCTGCACCTGGTGTTATCAAAAGTTATCTGTTGCATGGTCTCTCACCAGGGTGTTTTTCCCATTATCCAAAATGGTAGCCAGCTATTCTGGTCAAAAGAAATATGTACAGAAGTCTCCCTGTCCTTCTCCTGTATATATATATATCTTTTTTTTTTTCAAGTCACCTTTGGAGAGCAGAACATAAACCCAAGGGAGTGAAAGCAGTAAGTATAGATTAGTGATTCTGTATGGCTTTCCTGATATCATACTGTGTGCATATCCGCCTGCATTTTCATAAGGTTCAATCTACATATGGTAAATGAACATATTGGTCCCACTTGATGGTCATTGCAAAAATTAAGATCGCAAACCTGAAATTAAAAAAAAAAACAAGTGTTAAATCTATTACATATTTATTTCATTCTTCTTTTTGGCAGTTCTAATGCAAGTGAGATAAATCATAGTACAAGTAGAAATGCATGTATGATAGATTATGCTTTATAATTAGACCCCCGTTTTGTGTCATATTCATTAGTACACTGGCAATTTTTATTTTAATTATTTAAAAATTTAGAATAATTCAGTGATTATTGCTACATGTTCCTGACTTTTGAACACTTATTCATTTATTAACTCAGATTTCTTGAGTCCTTTTTGTGCTGCAGGCTCTAAGTTAATATAAGGGGCATGGAGATTTTTATGAAGAGAAAAACAAATGGATCATTTGGGACTTACAAGTGGTTAACTAGTCATTATACAAATCTTGCTTTATGTATTAGTGAAATGAAAGAAGAGAAAAATAAAGCACACACACAAGCAATAAGAAAACGAACATTAGCAAAAATTTAACCTGGAGTATATCAGCTTTCCAAACTCCAAATCAAAATGGATCCTTGGGCAGATGCCCACCTTTGCTGTGCTGCTTCCTCATTTACACTATCACCTTATGCATCTTTAATAAAAAGGTTTCCTCATAGAGCTCACCCCATTGATAACCAGCCCTGCAAGGCAGATGGCAAATTTGCGTTTAACCACACTCTGGAAGGTGCCCCACCCCATCATTTTTTGGTATCAAGTCAGTGGTTTCATGTTATTAGCGAGACAGCATGGCTTGCCTCTTAACTACAACAAGGTGTTAGCCCAGTTTTAGTTATGTTCCTCATTTAGAAAGTAGATTTCGTTGTTTTATCCTGCAACATTGCAAAGGATTTCAACTTAACAAATGCTTGCAACTGCAATATATAACTTCCTTGTTTTCTGTGTAATGTTGTATATAATGTGTCTCCAAGGAGTCCAAGTGTTTAAATGAGTCATATTTGCTTTCTTTTCTGATTAACATTAAAATTAAAGGCTATGAAAATATAAATGTCCAGACAAATATATTATCCAAATTAGAATAAAATTAGGCTAAGAAATATAAAAACTATTACTCATCTACCACCTTTTCACCATTATCCTGTAGTTGCCAATAGCTCTCTTTTTTTTTTTTCCAAAACTTGTTTTCTTTGTTCTAATAATGCTATTCCAGTGATTCTTTACTTAAGGTCAGTTTGGAACTTTCATAGACATGAACAAAGCTATGTTTCAGAGCAAATTGTTTGAGTTCCTCTCACCGTCAATAAACAGTATTGAGTTATCTAGTCATTTTAATGTTGGCCTGCGTGTTATTGGTTACTGCATTGCGTTAGTCATAAATAAGTGCCCCTTGGACTATAAGCTGTTTTATTTTGTCAACTCATTGTTTTTGTTTTTATTTTTTACTCAATTTGTGTCCTTTGAAGTGAACATACACTTTTCAGTTTTGCTATAAACCCCAGCAATCACTTTTACATGTAGCTTATTCATTTTTATTTTTATTTTATTTATTATTTCAATAGTTTTTGGGGAACAGGCAGTGTTTGGTTACATGGATAAGTTCTTTAGTGGTGACTTCTGAGATTTTGGTGCACCCGTCACCTGAGCAGTATACACTGTACCCAATGTGTAGTCTTTTATCCCTCACCCCCCTCCCATCCCCCGAGTCCCCAAAGTCCATTATATCATTCTAATGCCTTTGTGTCCTCATAGCTTAGCTCCCACTTATAAGTGAGACAATAACAATGTTTGGTTTTCCATTCCTCAGTTACTTCACTTAGATAATGATTTCTAACTCCATCCAGGTTGCTGTGAATGCCATTATCTTATTCCTTTTTATGTGTAGCCTATTCATTTTAAATGCCTATACCTGGCTGGCATTCGTCACATTGGCTGTCTAAGTACTTATAAGAAAAAGGATAAACAGTAAAAATTAAAGAGTCAGAAAAGGTAAACATATGTTAATATAGCTTATGGGATGAATTACTTCACAGTAGAAACAACTGAGAAGAATAAGAAGGGGTCACCTATTGTTTGTGAAAAGTTCTGGGCCTTTGCAATTGATACTAGGAAAATTGATTGACGAAACTGAAAATATTTGAATGTGAGGCTAGAGGATCAGTATCAAAGTTGAAAGATTGTTAGGTTATTGTGCATTCAGACAGCTAGGAGTCTTTTGGAGGAGTTAAAAGCCAAGCATGGTGAAAATGAGATTGACAAGATTATTACTTTAGATTACAGCGAGTTCTATAGGTTCAAGGCCTGTTTGAATGTGCACAACATCAAAGTGAAGACAGAGGCTGCAAGTGCTGATAATGTAATTTCTTAGAAGAAGGATAGTTCACCCAATAAAGATGAAATTAATCTATTTTTGGGAAAGTATGTCACAAGAATGTACATTAGGTGGCAAATAGTATGCAAGATGTTAAAGCTTTGAAGGACAAATTCAAACTTCCACTGGATAAGGATTGCAAATTTAAGCCTCTTTTATGTCAAACAGCTTTTCACCTTCAGATTATTTCACAGGTTGCAGAGTTTGTGTGGGAGGATAGAAGAATAGAAAATGTATCCATTGCCATAGCCCTGGTGGTATTATAAATCATGGCAAAAATAATCATTTATTACTTCAATCCTAACAATACTGCAGTTACATTTTTGATGTGTGTTAAAAATATATTTTTCATTAAAAATTGTGGTTAAATATACATAAATGAAATTTACTGTCTTAACCATGTGAAAGCGTATGGCTCTATACCATTAAGTACATTCATGTTATTGTGCAACCATTATCACCATTCATCTTCAGAACTTTTTCATCTTCCCCAACTGAAACTGTACCTCTATGCACTAAGTTCCTATTGCTTCTTTCCCTAGCCCCTGGCAAACACCATTCTACTTTCCATCTCTATAAATTTGACTACTTTAGGTGCCTCATATAAGTAGAATAATACAATATTTGTTCTTTTATGAATGGCTTATTTCACGTAGCATGATGTTTTCAAAGTTCCTCCAAGTTATAGCACGTGTCAGAATTTCCTTCATTTTTAACTTTGAATAATATTTCATCATATGTATATCCCATATTTTCCTTATCCATTCTTCTGTTGATGGTTGATGGATAGTTAGTTAGTTTCCACCTTTTGGCTATTATAAATACGTAATGCTGCCATGAACATGGGTATACAAATATCTGTTCAAGTCCCTGCTTTAATTCTTTTGAGTATATTCTCAGATGTGGAACTACAGGGTCATATAGTAATTCTATTTTTAATTCTTTGAGGAGCAACCATATCATTGTCCATAGTGGCTGCACCATTTCACCTTCCTACCAGCAATACACAAGGGTTCCAATTTCTGCACATCCTCCCCAAGTTATTGTCCTCTTTTTGATAATAGCTATTCTAATTAATGTGAAGTGAGATCTCACTATGGTTTTGATTTACATTTCCTTAATGATTAGTGATATTGAACATATTTTCATGTGTTTATTGGCCCTTTGTATATCTTCTTTGGATAAACGTCCATTCAAGTCTTTTGCCCATTTTAAAATCAGGGTTTTTTTTGTTGTTGAGTTGGAGTTCTTTATATATTCTGGATGTTGATCCCTTATCAGATATATAATTTGCAAATATTTTTCTCCCATTCGGTAGACTGTCATTTCACTCTATTGATGGTGTCCCTTGATGCACAAAAATTTTTAATTTTGATGACGTTTATTCATTTATTGTTTCACTTGTTGCCTGTGCTTTTGGTGTCTCTCAAGAAATCATTGCCAAACACAATGATATGAAGATTTTGCTCTGTTTTTTCTTCTACTAGTTTTATAGTTTTCATTCTTACATTGAGTTTTTAATTCAGTTTGAGTTACTTTTTGTAAATGGTTGAAGGAAAGGGTCCAGCTTCATTTTTTTGCATGTGGCTATCCATTTCCAACATTTGCTGAATGTCTTTCAATTTTAAAGAAAAATTCTCATGTATCGTATGCCTTTTGGTCTATAATTAATGCTTGCTTATATTTGATAATTTAAGTTTAATGTTAAAAAGATTAGCACATACTCTCTAGCAATACTGGATAAACACACACACACAATAAACATAAAGTCACAAGAGTTGTGTTTGCATGAGATATCACTTGGCTTCTTGGGGAAAAATATAGCAAATAAGACATTACTGGACAGATAGTCATCATCAAATTTTAGAGAAAGACTTTCCTAACATTTTAAGAAGTTGAGAAACCTCTTGGAGTTAGAGAAAAGCAAAGATAAGTGTCCTGCTTTAGCATTATAATTTAATTTCTACTGTGTATTTTTGTGATTATAAGAATAAATAATTATTTAATCAATCACAATATTTTCAAAATAAAATGGTTGTGGGCCACAGAGTTCTAGAATTTAATACCATAACTCTATTTACCAACAACTCTGATGCACATATTTTATGATTGGATATATAATTTATTTGAAATAAATTTATGATAATTTTACCTTTGACAGCTTTTCTTTAATAACTTTACATGTACTTTTAGATACTTTTAATTAAAATTTTATCATGATAATATAATTATTATAAATAAATATGTTGATACATTGGATATTCTTTAAATATATGAATATAAACTTCTTTCAGTAAGGAATCTCATAACATCTAAGGGTTAGTTTATAATTGTTTTTAGAATATACAAATCATTGTATATTTTTCCCTATCTTTCTTTTCTTGCCTCATAGCTTCAATTTCTCTTTTAGAGATTGCTATGTTCAGTTTTGGGGTATACATTCCTCCATTGCTTTAGCTGACTCCTTCAAAAAGCTTTATTTCCTTTTGTGGTTTGTAATCTTTGTGAGCTAGTCTTCAGGAGAAGCTGTTTTTCTTGGGAGTCAAGAATATTCTGCACTATGGATGTCTACCCTTAATTGTTTTGATTTTGTCTCTGCAGAAGCCTCAACTGCATTGTAAAATTTACCTTGCACCTTATCTCACTAGATGCTTAAAATTTAATTTCTCCAAGAAGACTTCATCATCTCCTCTATTCTTGGCTTGTAGATGACCAACTTCTCCTGATGTCTTCAGATGGCCTTCCTTCTGTGTGTGTCTGCATTCTAATTTCCTCTTCTTCTAAGAACACCAATCACATTTGATTAGGGTCTACCCTAATGACTTCATTTTAACTAAACCACCTCTTTCAAGACCCTATCTCCAAACACAGTCACATTCTGAGCTATGGGGCATTAGGACTTCTGCATACAAATTTGGGGAGGACACAATTCAGCCCATAACGGATACCAACCAGTTATTCAAGCCAGAACTCTGGTCATTGTGCCTAGAGTTTACTTTACTTTATTTACTTTATTTACTTTCTCATTTCAAGTAGTCACCATTGATTCTACTTCCTAAGTATCTCAAATTTATCAATTTCTGTGAATCTTCACTGCTACTTTTCAACTTTGGCCATCATCATTTTTACCTCTAGATAATAGTAATAACCTCCTTACTGGTTTGTTTCTCTCCAGTATTGCATTCCTTTACTCTTTCTTCCACATGACAGAGTAATTTTTTAAAATATAATTCTTATGATTATATCTTTATCTATCCCTGCTGAAAATCCCTCAAAAGTCTAAAATCCTTTTCATTGCTTAGAAAGCTTTGATCTGAATGACACCTGCTTTTCTCTTCAGTCCCATTTTTTGTTTTATACTTTTATTAAACCATTTTCAGTTCTCTGTTGAGGGCATAGTTTCTTTCTCCAGCCTCTGGTCATTAGCATCTTGTTCTTTATATTTGGATTGTTCTCCTCCCTCCCTTTCTCCTTACTTTTGATAATTCCTTATCCTTTAGGTTTTGGCATAAAAGTTATTTCTACCAGTAAAAATTCCATCATTCTTTAAGTTAGTGGCCCATTCAAGTGTCCCACCACCATATCAACTAATGTGCCAAATTGCAATTGCCTGTTTATTGGCTGCATAACCCTTGATTCTGTAAGCTCTGTTAAAGCAAGGATTATTTTTATAGTTTACAGTTGTGTCACTAGTACCTAACTCATAGTAGGCACTTAACAAATGTTGATACTTGGCATATTCCGTATCGTTATTTCAAAATAGTGGATCAAATGGTAACTTGTTTTCCTAATCATGCTACTTAAAATTTCATCCTTACTTTCCCTTCCTTGCTTTACTTTTTACAGAAGTATCACTATCTGCACATATACATATATGTATTTTATTAATTTATTAATTGATTGCTTGATTGTCTCTCTCTCCCCCCTCTCTAAGTATAGAGATTATACTCTAGTGTTGTTCTTTTTGCTTAGGATAGCTTTGGCTATTCTGGGTCTTTTGTGGTTCCATACAAATTTCAGGATTGTTTTTTTCGAATTCTATGAAGAATGTCATTGGTATTTTTATAGGGATTGAATTGGATCTGTATATTGCTTAGAGGAGTATGGATATTTTAACAATATTACTATTTTTAGTCCATGAACATGGAAGATTTTTCTAGCTTTTTGTGTCCTTTTCAATTTCTTTCATCAGTGTTTTATGGTTATAATTATAGAGCTCTTTCACTTCTTTGATTAATTCTAGGCATTTAATTTTATTTGAGGCTTGCATTAATCCATTTTCACACTGCTATAAAGAAGTACTTGAGACTGGGTAATTTATGAAAAAAATATTTAATTGACTCACAGTTTTGCATGGCTGGGGGGCCTCAGGAAACTTACAATCATGGCAGAAGGGGAAGAGAAAGCAAGGCACGTCTTACGTGATGGCAGGAGGGGTGGGAACTACCATACACTTTTAAACCATCAGACCTCATGAGAATCCACTCCATACCACCAGAACAGCCTGAAGGAAACTGCCTTCCATAACACAATCACCTCCCACCAGGTCCCTCCCTTGACATACGAAGATTAAAATTTGAGATGAGATTTGGGTGGGGACACAGAGCCAAACCATATCAAGGCTCTTATAAATTGGATTATTTTTTAAATTTCTTTTTCAGAATGCTCACTGTTGGCATATAGAAATGCTACTGATACTTGTGGGTTGATTTTTTTTATCCTGCAAGTTTACAGAATTTGTTTATCAGTTCTAATAGTTTTTCGTGGAATCTTTATGTTTTTCTAATATAATATTACATCTTCTGCAAACAAGGATAATTTGACTTCTTTCATTCCAATTTGTATGCCCTTTAATTACTTTCTCTTGTCTGGCAGCTCTAGCTAGGACTGCCAGTACTATGTTGAATAACAGTGTTAAAGTTGGCATCCTTTTCATGTTCCAGATGGTTAAAGTGGGCAGCCTTGTGATGTTCCAGATCTTAGGGGAATGACTTTCAGTTTTCCCCATTTAGTATGATACTAGCTGTGGGTCTGTCATATATGGCTTTCATTATGTTGAGCTTTATTCCTTCTAGCCCCAGTCTTTTGAGGATTTTTTTTTTATCATGATGGGATGTTGAATTTTATCAAATGCTTTTTCAGCATCAATTTAAATAAAAATCATATGATTTTTATTCTTCATTCCATTGTATTACACTGATTGATATGCCTATGTTGAACCATCCTTGCATCTCTGGGATAAATTCCACCTGGTCATGGTAAATAATCTTACTAATATATTATTAAATTTGGTTTGCTAGTATTTTATTGAGGATTTTTGCATCAATATTCATCAGATATTTTTTTAAATGTATCTTTGTCTAGTTTGGGTATCAGAGTAAAACTGGTCTTGTGGAATGAGTTTAGAAGAATTCCCTTCTTCTTTGTTTTTTGGAATAGTTTGAGTAGGCTTGGCATTAGTTCTTCAGATGTTTGGTACAATTCAGCAGTGAAGCCATTGGGTCCCAGGCTTCCCATTGCTGGGAAACTTTTTATTATGGCTTTGATCTGTTATTGTTATTGGTCTGTTCAGGTTTTGGATTTTTTCCTGGTTCAATTTTAGTAGGTTGTTTGTGTCTATGAATTTGTGCATTTCTCCTAGATTTTCCAAATTGTTAGTGTATACTTGCTCATGGTAGCCACTAATGTTCCTTTGAATATCTGGAATATCAGTTGTAATGTCTTTTCTTTCATTTCTGATTTTATTTGGATCTTTTCCCTTTATTTCTTAATGTAGCTAAACGATTGTCAATTTTATCTTTTCCAAAAGAACCCACTTTTTATTTCAATGGTATTTTGTATTGTTTTCTTCATTTCAATTTCATTTATTCCTGCTCTGATCTTTATTGTTTCTTTTCTAATTTTGGGTTTGGTTTGCTCTTGCTTTTTTAATTCTTTAAGGTGCATCATTAGATTGTTTATTTGAAGTTTTTTCTCTTTGTGGTTGTAGGTGCTTATAGTTAAAACTGCTTTCTCAATACCGCTTTTGCTGTATCCCCTAGATTTGGCATGTTGTGTTTCCATTATCATTTGTTTCAAGGAAGTTTTCAATTCCCATCCCAGTTTCTATATTGGCCGAGTGGTCATTCAGGAACATAATGTTTAATTTCCATGTATTTGTATAATTTCCAAAATTCCTCTTTTTATCAATTTCTACTTTTATTCCATTGTGGTCAGAGAAAATGCTTCATATTATTTCAATTTTTTGAATGTCTTAAGGTTTGTTTTGTGACCTAATATATGGTCTGTCCTGAGACTAAGGCATATTTTGAGGAGAATGTGTATTCTGTAGCAATTGGTTGAAATATTCTGTAAATATTTATTAGATCCATCTCGTCTACACTGCAGATTATGTGTGATGTTTCTTTGTTGGTTTTCTGTCTGAAAAATTTATCCAATGCTGAAAGTTGGGGGTGTCGAAGTCTCTAGCTATTATTGTGTTGGAACCTATCTCTCTCCTTTAACTCTAATAATATTTGCCCTATATATCTGGGTGCTCCAGAGTTGGGTGCATATATATTTAAAATAGTTATATCCACTTGCTGAATTGACTTGTTTATCATTATATAGTGACTTTCTTTGTCTCTTCTTTTTTTTCTTTATTTTTATTTTTTATTATACTTTAAGTTCCAGGGTACATGTGCACAACGTGCAGGTTTCTTACATAGGTATACATGTGCCATATTGGTTTGCCGCACCCATTAACTCGTCATTTACACTGGGTATTTCTCCTAATGCTATCCCTCCCCCAGCCCCCCACCCCACGACAGGACCCGGTGTGTGATGTTCCCCTCCCTGTGTCTAAGTGTTCTCATTGTTCAATTTCCACCTATGAGTGAGAACATACAGTGTATGGTTTTCTGTCCTTGTGATAGTTTGCTGAGAATGATGGTTTCCAGCTTCATCCATGACCCTGCAAAGGACATGAACTGATCCTTGTTTATGGCTGCATAGTATTGCATGATGGATATGTGCCACATTTTCTTAATCCAGTCTATTATTGATGGACATTTGGGTTGGTTCCAAGTCTTTGCTATTGGGGGGTAGTGCCGCAATAAACATACATGTGCATGTGTCTTTATAGTAGCATGATTTACAATCATTTGGGTATAAACCCAGTAATGGGATCACTGGGTCAAATGGTATTTCTAGTTCTAGATCCTTGAGGAATCGTCACACTGTCTTCCACAATGGTTGAACTAATTTACACTCCCACCAACAGTGTAACAGCATTCCTATTTCTCCACATCCTCTCCAGCATCTGTTGTTTCCTGATGTTTTAATGATTGTCATTCTTACTGGTAAGATTGTATCTCATTGTGGTTTTGATTTGCATTTCTCTGATGACCAGTGATGATGAGCATTTTTTCATGTGTCTGTGGGCTGCATATGTCGTCTTTTGAGAAGTGTCTGTTCATATCCTTCACCCACTTTTTGATGGGGTTGTTTGTTTTTTTTCTTGTAATTTTGTATGAGTTCTTTGTACATTCTGGATATTAGCCCTTTGTCAGATGGGTAGATTGCAAAAATTTTCTCCCATTCTGTAGGTTGCCTCTTCACTCTGATGGTAGTTTCTTTTGCTGTGCAGAAGCTCCTTAGTTTAATTAGATCCCATTTGTCAATTTTGACTTTTGTTGCCATTGCTTTTGGAGTTTTAGTCATGAAGTCTTTGCCAATGCCTATGTCCTGAATGGTATTGCCTAGGTTTTCTTCTAGGGTTTTTATGATTTCAGGTCTAACATGTAAGTCTTTAATCCATTTTGAATTCGTTTTTGTATAAGGTATAAGGAAGGGATCCAGTTTCAGCTTTCTACGTATGGCTAGCCAGTTTTCCCAGCACCGTTTATTAAATAGGGAATACTTTCCCCATTTCTTGTTTTTGTCTGGTTTGTCAAAGATCAGATGGTCGTAGATGTGTGGTGTTATTTCTGAGGTTTCTGTTCTGTTCCGTTGGTCTATATATCTGTTTGGTACCAGTACCATGTTGTTTTGGTTACTATAGCCTTGTAATATAGTTTGAAGTCAGGTAGCGTGATGCCTCCAGCTTTGTTCTTTTGGCTTAGGATTGTCTTGGCAATGCGGACTCTTTTTTGGTTTCATATGAACTTTAAAGTAGTTTTTTCCAATTCTGTGAAGAAAGACATTGGTAGCTTGATGGGGATGGCATTGAATCTATAAATTACCTTGGCCAGTATGGCCATTTTCACGACATTGATTCTTTCTATCTATGAGCATTGAATGCTCTTCCATTTGTTTGTATCCTCTTTTATTTCATTGAGCAGTGGTTTGTAGTTCTCCTTGAAGAGGTCCTTCACATCCCTTGTAAGTTGGATTCCTAGGTATATTATTCTCTTTGTAGCAATTGTGAATGGGAGTTCACTCATGATTTGGCTCTCTGTTTGTCTGTTATTTGTGTATAGGAATGCTTGTCATTTTTGCACCGTGATTTTGTATCCTGAGACTTTGCTGAAGTTGCTTATCAGCTTAAGGAGATTTTGGGCTGAGACGTTGGGTTTTCTAAATATACAATCATGTCATCTGCAAACGGGGGCAATTTGACTTTGTCTTTTCCTAATTGAATACCCTTTATTTCTTTCTCTTGCCTGATTGCTCTGGCCAGAACTTCCAATACCATGTTGAATAAGAGTGGTGAGAGAGGGCATCCTTGTCTTGTGCCAGTTTTCAAAGGGAATGCTTCCAGTTTTTGCCCATTCAGTATCATAGTGGCTGTGAGTTTGTCATAAATAGCTCTTATGAGATACGTTCCATCAATACCGAGTTTATTGAGAGTTTTTAGCGTGAAGGGCTGTTGAATTTTGTCAAAGGCCTTTTCTGCATCTATTGAGATAATCATGTGGTTTTTGTGTTTGGTTCTGTTTATGTGATAGATTACATTTATTGATTTGCATATGTTGAACCAGCCTTGCATCCCAGGGATGAAGCTGACTTGATTGTGGTGGATACGCTTTTTGATGTGCTGCTGGATTACGTTTGCCCCTATTTTAGTGAGGATTTTTGCATTGATGTTCATCAGGAATATTGTTCTAAAATTCTCTTTTTTGGTTGTGTCTTTGCCAGGCTTTGGTATCAGGATGATGCTAGCCTCATAAAATGAGTTAGGGAGGAGTCCCTCTGTTTCTATTAATTGGAATAGTTCCAGAAGGAATGGTGCCAGTTCCTCTTTGTACCTCTGGTAGAATTTGGCTGTGAATCCATCTGGTCCTGGGCTTTTTTTGGTTGGTAGGCTATTACTGCCTCAATTTCAGAGCCTGTTATTGATCTATTCAGATATTCCACTTCTTCCTGGTTTAGTCTTGGGAGGGTGTATGTGTCCAGGAATTCATCCATTTCTTCTAGATTTTCTAGTTTATTTGCATAGAGGTGTTTATAGTGTTAACTGATGATAGTTTGTATTTCTGTGGGATGGGTGGTGATATCCCCTTTATTTTTTATTGCATTTATTTGATTCTTCTCTCTTTTCTTCTTTATTAGTCTTGCTAGCAGTCTATCAGTTTTGTTGATCTTTACAAAAAACCAACTCCTGGTTTCATTGATTTTTTTAAGGGTTTTTTGTGTCTCTATCTCCTTCAGTTCTGCTCTGATCTTAGTTATTTCTTGCCTTCTGCTAGCTTTTCAATTTGTTTGCTCTTGCTTCTCTAGTTCTTTTAATTGTGATGTTAGGGTGTTGATTTTAGATCTTTCCTTCTTTCTTTTGTGGGCATTTACTGCTATAAATTTCTCTCTACACACTGCTTTAAATGTGTCCCAGAGATTCTGGTACGTTGCGTCTTCGTTCTCACTGGTTTCAAAGAGCATCTTTATTTTTGTCTCCATTTCGTATTTACACAGTAGTCATTCAGGAGCAGGTTGTTCAGTTTCCATGTAGTTGTGTGGCTGTGAGTGAGTTTCTTAATCCGGAGCTCTAATTTGATTGCACTGTGGTCTGATAGACTGTTTGTTTTGATTTCTGTTCTTTTACATTTGCTGAGGAGTACTTTACTTCCAAGTATGTGGTCAATTTTGGAATAAGTGTGACGTGGTGCTGAGAAGAATGTATATTCTGTTGATTTGGGGTGGAGAGTTCTGTAGATGTCTATTAGTTCTGCTTGTTGCAGAGCTGAATTCAAGTCCTGGATATCCTTGTTAACCTTCTTTCTTGTTGGTAGGTCTAATATTGACAGTGGGGTTTTAAAACCTCCCATTATTGTTGTGTGGGAGTCTAAGTCTCTTTGTAGGTCTCTAAGGACTTGCTTTATGCATCTGGGTGCTCCTATATTGGGTACATATATATTTAGGATAGTTAGCTCTTCTTGTTGAATTGATCTCTTTAGCATTGTGTAATGGCCATCTTTGTCTCTTTTGATCTTTGTTGGTTTAATGTCAGTTTTATCAGAGACTAGGAATGCAACTGCTGCTTTTTTTTTTGCTTTCCATTTGCTTGGTAGATATTCCTCTATCCCTTTATTTTGAGCCTATGTGTGTCTTTGCATATGAGATGGGTCTCCTGAATACAGCACACTGATGTATGCTGCATCCAGTTTTCTAGTCTGTGTCTTTTAATTGGGGCATTTAGCCCATTTGCATTTAAGGTTAATATTGTTACGTGTGAATTTAATCCTGTCATTATGATGTCAGCTGATCATTTTTCCCATTAATTGATGGCACTTTCTTCATAGCATCAATGGTCTTTACAATTTGGCATATTTTTGCAGTGCCTGGTACTGGTTGTTTTTTTCCAGGTTTAGTGCTTCCTTCAGGAACTCTTGTAAGGCAGGCCTGGTGGTGACAAAATCTCTCAGCATTTGCTTGTCTGTAAAGGATTTTATTTCTCCTTCATTTATGAAGCTTAGTTTGGCTGGATAGGAAATTCTGGGTTGAAAATTCTTTCCTAAGCCAAAAGAACAAAGCTGGAGGCATCATGCTACCTGACTTCAAACTATACTACAAGGCTACAGTAACCAAAACAGCATGGTACTGGTACCAAAACAGAGATATAGACCAATGGAACAGAACAGAGCCCTCAGAAATAATGCCGCATATCTACAACTATCTGATCTTTGACAAACCTGACAAAAACAAGCAATGGGGAAAGTATTCCCTATTTAATAAATAGTGCAGGGAAAACTGGCTAGCCATATGTAGAAAGCTGAAACTGGATCCCTTCCTTACACCTTATACAAAAATTAATTCAAGATGGATTAAAGACTTACATGTTAGACCTAAAACCATAAAAACCCTAGAAGAAAACCTAGGCAATACCATTCAGGACATAGGCATGGGCAAGGAATTCTTGTGTAAAACACCAAAAGCAATGGCAACAAAAGCCAAAATTGACAAATGGGATCTAATTAAACTAAAGAGCTTCTGCACAGCAAAAGAAACCACCATCAGAGTGAAGAGGCAACCTACAGAATGGGAGAAAATTTTTGCAACCTACTCATCTGACAAAGTGCTAATATCCAGAATCTCCAATGAACTCAGACAAATTTACAAGAAAAAAACAAACGACCCCATCAAAAAGTGGGCGAAGGATATCAACAGGCACTTCTCAAAAGAAGACATTTATGCAGCCAAAAAACACACGAAAAAATGCTCATCATCACTGGCCATCAGAGAAATGCAAATCAAAACCACAATGAGATACCATCTCACACCAGTTAGAATGGCGATCATTAAAAAGTCAAGAAACAACAGGTGCTGGAGAGGAAGTGGAGAAATAGGAACACTTTTACACTGTTGGTGGGACTGTAAACTAGTTCAACCATTGTGGAAGTCAGTGTGGCGATTCCTCAGGGATCTAGAACTAGAAATACCATTTGACCCAGCCATCCCATTACTGCGTATATACCCAAAGGATTATAAATCATGCTGCTATAAAGACACATGCACATGTGTATTTACTGCAGCACTATTTACAACAGCAAAGACTTGGAACCAACCCAAATGTTCAACAATGATAGACTGGAGTAAGAAAATGTGGCACATATATACCATGGAATACTATGCAGCCATAAAAAATGATGAGTTCATATCCTTTGTAGGGACATGGATGAAGCTGGAAACCATCATTCTTAGCAAACTATTGCAAGGACAAAAAACCAAACACCACATGTTCTCACTCATAGGTGGGAGTTGAACAATGAGAACACATGGACACAGGAAGGGGAACATCACACACCGGGGACTGTTGTGGGGTTGGGGAAGGGGGAGGGATAGCATTAGGAGATATATCTAATGCTAAATGATGAGTTAATGGGTACAGCACACCAATATGGCACATGTATACATATGTAACAAACCTGCACGTTGTGCACATGTACCCTAAAAGTTAAAGTATAATTAAACAACAAAAATGTTGACTATTGGCCCCCACTCTCTTCTGGCTTGTAGAGTTTCTGCCGAGAGGTCTGCTGTTAGTCTGATGGGCTTCCCTTTGTGGGTAACCAGACCTTTCTCTCTGGCTGCCCTTAACATTTTTTTCCTTCATTTCAACCTTGGTGAATCTGACAATTATGTGTCTTGTGGTTGCTCTTATTGAGGAGTATCTTTGTGGTGTTCTCTGTATTTTCTGAATTTGAATGTTGGCCTGCCTCACTAGGTTGGGGAAGTTCTCCTGGATAATATCCTGAAGAGTGTTTTCCAACTTGGTTTCATTCTCCCAGTCACTTTCAGATACTGCAAATCAAACGTGGATTTGGTCTCTTCACATAGTCCCACATTTCTTGAATTCTTTGTTCATTTCTTTTTACTCTTTTTTTCTGTAAACTTCTCTTCTCACTTTATTTCATTGATTTGATTTTCATATTTCATTAATTTGATCTTCAATCACTGATACCCTTTCTTCCACTTGATCAAATTGGCTATTGAAGCTTATGCATGTGTCACGTAGTTCTCATGCCATGGTTTTCAGCTCCATCAGGTCACTTAAGGTCTTCTCTACACTGTTTATTCTAGTTAGCCATTCATCTAATTTTTTTCAAGGTTTTTAGCTTCCTTGTGCTGGGTTCAAACATCCTCCTTTAGCTCAGAGTAGTTTGTTATTACCAACCTTCTGAAGCCTACTTCTATCAACTCGTCAAAGTCATCCTCCATCCAGCTTTGTTCTGTTGCTGGTGAGGAGCTGCAATCCTTTGGTGGAGAAGAGGCCCTCTGGTTTTTAGAATTTTCAGCTTTCCTGCTCTGGTTTCTCCCAATCTTTGTGATTTTATCCAACTTTGGTCTTTGATGTTGGTGACCTACAGATGGCGTATTGGCTTGGATGTCCTTTTTGTTGGTGCTATTCCTTTCTGTTTGTTAATTTTTCTTCTAATGGTCAGGCCCCTCAGCTGCAGGTATCTTGGAGTTTGCTGGAGGTCCACTTGAGACCCTGTTGTTTGCCTGGGTATCACCAGTGGAGGCTGCAGAACAGCGAATATTGCAGAACAGCGAATATTGCAGAACAGCAAATACTGCTATCTGATATTTCTTCTGGAAGCTTTATTCCAGAGGGGCACCCGCCTGTATGAGGTGTTAGTCAGCCCCTACTGGGGGGTGTCTCCCAGTTAGGCTACATGGGGGTCAGGGACCCACTTGAGGAGGCAATCTGTGCGTTCTCAGAGCTCAAACACCATGATGGTAGAACCACTGCTCTCTTCAGAGCTGTCAGACAGGGACGTTTAAGTCTGCAGAAGTTTCTGCTGCCTTTTGTTCAGCTATGCCCTGCCTCTAGAGGTGGAGTCTATAGAGGCAGCAAGCCTTGCGGTGCTGCAGTGGGTTCTGCTGAGTTCGAGCTTCCTGGCCACTTTGTTTACCACTCATGACTCAGCAATGGCTGAAGCCCCTCCCCCTGCCAGGCTGCTGCATCACAAGTCGATCTCAGACTGCTGTGCTAGCAGTGAGCAACGCTCTGGGGGCATGGGACCCGCCAAGCCAGGCATGGGATATAATCTCCTGGTGTGCTGTTTGCTAAGACTGTTGGAAAAGCACAGTATTTGAGTGGGAGTGTCCCGTTTTTCCAGGTACAGTCTGTCACGGCTTTCCTTGGCTAGGAAACTGAAATCCCCCAACCCCTTGTGCTTCCGGGGTGAGGCGATGCCCCACCCTGCTTTGGCTTGCCCTCTGTGGGCTGCACCCACTGTTCAACCAGTCTCAATGAGATGAACCAAGTACCTCAGTTGGAAATGCAGAACTCACCCATCTTCTGCGTTGATCATGCTGGGAGCTGCAGATCAGAGCTGTTCCTATTTGGCCATCTTGGAATGGCCACACCCTTTGTCTCTTCTTAAAGCTTTTTTCTTGAAACCTATTTTGCCTGGTGTCAGTATAGCTACTACTGCCCTTTTCTGGTTTCCACTGGCATGGAATATCATTTTCCATCCCTTTATAGTCAGTCTAAGTGCATCTTTATAGGGCAAGTATGTTTCTTGTAGGCAACTGATCATTGGGTCTAGTTTTTTCATCCATTATGCCACTCTATATCTTTTAGAGAATTTATTCTATTCAATGTTATTATTGACAAGTAAGGACTTACTCCTGCCGTTTTCTTATTTGTTTTCTGGTCATTTTGTGGTGTTCTTTTCTCTCTCTTTCTTTCTTTCTCTCTTTTTCTTTCTTTCTTCTTTCCTACCTGTCTTCCTTTAGAGAAGGTGAATTTCTCTCGTGACATGATTTAGTTTCTTGCTCTTTATTTTTTGTGTATTCATTTTATGTTTTTTTTGAGGTTACCATGAGGCTTGCAAATATGATTGTATAACTCATTATTTTAACCTGATAACAACTTAACACTCCACAAACAAACAAGCAAGCAAAAAGAAAACTAATAAAAACTCTATGCCTTAACTTAATCCCTCCACTTTATAACTTTGTTTTTTCTATTTGTCTTATTGTACTGTATATGCTTTGAAAAGTTGTTGTAGTTATTATATTTGATTGGTTTGTCATTTCGTCTTTCTACTTAGAGTAACAGTAGGTTACAGCATTATAAAATTTTGTATTATTCCATGTACTTACTATTATCAGTAAGTTTTGTACTTTCAGTTGATTGCTTATGGCTCATTAACATCCTGTTCTTTGTGATTGAAGTACTCCCTTTAGCATTTCTTGTAAGACAGGTCTTGTGTTGATGAAATCCTTCAGGTTTTGTTTGTCTGGAAAAGTCTTTATTTCTCTTTAGTGTGTGAAGGATATTTTCACAGGATATGCTATTCTATGGTAAAAGTTATTTTCTTCTGGCACTTTAAGTATATCATGCCACTCTCTCCTGGTCTGTAAGGTTTCCACTGAAAAGTCTGCTGCCAAACATATTGAAGCTCCATTGTATGTTATTTTTTTTCTTTTCTCTTTCTGCCCTTAGGATCCATTCCTTATCCTTGAATTTTGGGCGTTTGATTATTAAATGCCTTGAGATAGTCTTCTTTGGGTTAAATCTGCTTGGTGTTCTATAACTTTCTTGTATTTGGATATTGATATCTTTTGCTAGGTTTAGGAAGTTCTCTGATATTATCTGTTTCAATAAACTTTCTAATTCTGTCTCTTTCTCTACCTCCTCTTTAAGGCCAAAAACTCTTAGCTTTGCCCTTTTGAAGCTATTTTCTAGGCCCTGTAGGTGTGCTTTATTGTTTTTTATTATTTTTTCTTTTGTCTCTGCTATGTATTTTCAAGTAGCCTATCTTCAAGCTCACAAATTCTTTCTTCTGCTTGATCAATTCTGCTATTAAGAGACTCTGATGCATTCTTCAGTATGCCAATTGCATTTTTTTTTTTTTTTTTGAGACGGAGTCTCGCTCTGTCGCCCAGGCTGGAGTGCAGTGGCGCGATCTCGGCTCACTGCAAGCTCCGCCTCCCGGGTTCACGCCATTCTCCTGTCTCAGCCTCCCGAGTAGCTGGGACTACAGGCGCCCGCTACCACGCCCGGCTAATTTTTTGTATTTTTAGTAGAGACGGGGTTTCACCGTGTTAGCCAGGATGGTCTCGATCTCCTGACCTCGTGATCCACCCGCCTCGGCCTCCCGAAGTGCTGGGATTACAGGCGTGAGCCACCGCACCCGGCCGCCAATTGCATTTTTAGATCCAGAATTTTTGCTTGATTCTTTTTAATTGTTTCAATCTCTTTATTCAATTTATCTGACAGAATTCTGAGCTCCTTCTCTTTGTTACCTTGAATTTGAGTTTCTTCAACACAGCTATTTTGAATTAGCTGTCTGAAAGGTCACATATCTCTGTTTCTCCAGAATTAGAGAATCCTGGTGGCTTATTTAGTTCATTTGGTGATGCCATGTTTTCCTAGATGGTGTTGATGCTATAGATGTTCTTTGGTGTCTGGGAATGGAAGACTTATGTAGTTATTGTAGTCTTCACTATATGGACTTGTTTGTGCCCATCTTTCTTGGAAAGGCTTTCCAGATGTTTGAAAGGACTTGGGTGTTGTGATCTAAGCTGTATCTGCTGTAAGGGGCACCCAAAGCCCAGCCATGCTGTGATTCTTGCAGACTCATAAAGGTACTGTTTTGATGGTCTTTGACAAGATCCAGGAGAATTCTCTGGATTGCCAGGCAGAGACTCTTGTTCTCTTCCCTTAGTTTCTACCAAACAAATGGAGTCTCTCTCTGTTCTGAGCCATCTAAATCTGAGGGTGAAGTGATGCAATCACCCCTGTGGCTACCACCACTGTAACTGCACTGGGTCAGACCTGAAGCCAGCACAGCACTGAATCTCACCCAATTCCTGCTGTAACAACTCCCTGGCTACTGCCTATGTTTGCCGAAGGCCTAGGGGGCTCTATAATCAGCAGTTGGCAAAGCCAGTTAGGCCTATATCCTTCTCTTCAAGGTAGCGAGTTGCCCCAGGCCCAGTTGGTTCTAGAGGTTCTGTCCAGGAGTCAAGACTAGGGTCAGAACTTTGGAATTCCACCTTGTATTCTATTGTACTGTGGCTGAGCTGGCAATGAAACCACAAAACAGTTCTTTCTACTCTTCCCTCCCCTTTCCAAAGGCAGAGAAGCCTCACCCTGTATCCACCACCACCACAGGCAATGGGGAGTTCTGCCGGACTACTGCCAATGCTCACTTAATGCCCACGGGCTCTTAAGTCAGCTTGTGGTACATGTTGCCTGGCCTGGAGCTCACCATTCAGGACAGTGGGCTCCCCTCTGGCCCCGGGCAGGTCCAGAGATGCTGTCCAAGAGTCAAGTCCTTGAATCAGGGATCCCAAGAGCCTGCTTGGTGCTCTACCTCTCTGTGGCTGTACTGGTTCCTAAGGTGCAAGAAAAAGTCCCCTTTATTTTTTCTCTGCTTTTCTCAAGCAGAAGGAGTTTTGTCCCATAGCTGCTATAGCTGGTAATGTGCTGAATCTCACCAGCAAGTCTCAGAGGCTCACCCAAGGCCCTCAGCATAGTACCTGGGTACCACTGCTGGTTGTTCAGGGCCCAAGGGCTCTTTACTTAGCAGGTGGTGAATACTGTCAGGATTGGGCCCCTCCCTCAAGACAGTGTGTCCCTTATGGCTGAGGGTGTGTCTAGAAATGTAACCTGGGATCTAGGGCCTGGAATGGGGGCCTAGTGATTCTGACCAGTGCCCCATCCTGCTGTTGAAAAGCTGGTATCCAAGATGTAAGATACATCTTGAGTCTTCCCCATTGTTCCCTCCAGGAAGAAGTGGAAGGAAGGAGCCTCTTTTGGATCTGCAAGCTGTGCAGCTTGGGGTTAGGGGAGGGGTGATTCCAGCACTCCCTTGGCTTCCCCAGCTGGTGTCTCAGTAGGTTGAGTACCTCCTCTGCCTTCCTAGTCCACTGTTCCTGGGCCCAGTTCAGCATTAGGACTTATCTAAAAATTGCAGTCCTTATGGCCTAGACTGCTTTTCATGTCTACTTAGAGCACCAGAGCACTGTAGCCTGTGGTGGTGTGGTTTGTAGGAAGTCAAGTTTGTACTGCTGGGATCAGTGAGTCACCTTTGACTAGGGCTGGTTTAAATGCTCTTTCCATTGGCAGGTATCTGCTAAGTTTGGTCTAGTTTTCCTTTCTCTTCTAATAGGACAGCAGTGAGTTCAATGCCTCACGTTTGCTGTTCTCTCCCTCCCCCAGCACCCAGAGATCCTCTGCACCATGTGGCAGCTGCCAGGGGTGGCAGAGGGGTGGTATTGGTGATTCAAGACTGTTTTTTCTATTTCTTCACTGCATCTTTCAGTGGTATGTAGTTAAATCCAGGTACTATGAGGGCTCACCTAATTTTTGTTTTTTATGAAGTTACTTCTTCTGTGTAGATAGTTGTTTAATTAGTGTCCTTGTAGGTGGGTGATCAGTTCAGCCTTCTATTCTGCCATCTTGCTGGGCCTCCTTCCTGTTCAATTCTATTTGTATAATTTTAAACCTTGGAAATCAATTACTGGGAGAGTAGTGTTAAAAATTATAAACTTGGATTTATTTATTTCTCCCCTTAAGTCTATCAATTGTGTGTGTGTGTGTGTGTTTAAGCTGAACCTCTATTTTTGTGTATTTTAAAACTGTTTTTAGAGTGTCGCTACTTAGGATCACTATGTTTTCTTAATTGATGCTGTTGTCTCATAAATGTTCTTATAACTGGTAATATTTCTTAGGATCACTATGTTTTCTTAATTGATGCTGTTGTCATTATAAATGTCCTTATAACTGGTAATATTTCTTTTATTAAAATCTACTTTAGCTGACATTAATGTAGCTTACTTATGATTATTATGTGCATGTTTTTCAAATTTTTTTGAGACAGAGTTTCATTTTATCACTCAAATTCTTATGTGGGAGTATAGTAGTGTGATCATAGCTCATGCTAAGCCAGAACTCCCGCACACAAGTGATCCTCCCACCTCAGCCTCCCAAGTAGCTCAGACTACAGATGTGCACCACACCTACCTAATTTAAGAAAAAAATTGTAGAGAGGGGGTCTCGCTATATTGCCCAGGCTGGTCTCAAACTCCTGGCCTCAAGTGTTCTTCCTGCTTTGGCCTTCCAAAGCTCTGGGATTACAAGCATGAGCCACTGTATCCACTTGATATCATTATGTTACTTTTTAAAATTAATTAATTTATTTTTAAATTTTAGACAGAGCCTTTCTCTATCACTCAGGCTGGAGTGCAGTGGTGCGATCTCTGCTCACTGCAACCTCCACCTTCCAGATTCAAGCAGCTCTTCTGCCTCAGCCGCCCAAGTAGCTGGGACTACAGGTGTGTGCCACCAACCCGGGTAATTTTTTTTGCATTTTTAGTAGAGATGGGGCTTCACCGTGTTAGCCAGGATGGTCTTGATCTCCTGACCTCATGATCCACCTGCCTCAGCCTCCCAAAGTGCTGGGATTATAGGCATGAGTCATCGTACCTGGCTGTTACTTTTTAATTTCTGTATTTTTATATGTAAAAATCATTTCTTATAAACAGCATGTAGTTGGATTTTTGTTTTTAATTCAGTCTGATATTTAAGTTAATTGCTTTGCCATTTTTATTTGATGTAATTATTGTTACAGTTGGGTTTAAGTCCATTACCTTAATATTCCTTTTCCATTTGTTCCATCTGTTCTTTGCTCATTTTTCCTTTTTTAATGCCTTTTTTGACTAATAAAGTAGGTTTATTATTCCATTTTATGTTCTTTTAAAAAGCTTTACTTCTTTATTGTTTATTAATTGGTTGCTTTAGGGATTACAATATTAATTTTTAACTTGTTACAATCTTATACTTCTTCATGTGAAATGTACTAAACTTCAATGATAAATTTCCATTTACCCCTTTCATCTTTTGTGATTGTTCCCATGCATTTTACTTCTATAAACCACTTGATGTATTATTATTTTGACTTAAACTGTAATTACTTGTCTTTTAGAGAAAACATGAAGTCTGAAATAAGTAATTTACATCTTTCCTCAATTTTCATTTACAGTGATCTTCATTCCCTTGTGTACTTGTTTTCATCTGGTGTCATTTTTTTTCAACCTAAAGAACTTCAATATATTTTCAAGTGAAGTTCTGCTGGTGATTAATTATTTTAGATTTTTTTCTGACAATGTCTATTTTATCTTCATTTGTGAAGGATGCTTTTGTGGAATACAAACTTCCAAGTTGACTTATTTTCTTTCAGCATGTCGAAGCTGTCATTTAATTGTTTTCTGACTTGCATTTCTTCTGATAAGAAGTCATCAATAATTCTTATTGTTGCTCTTATGTATTTAAAGTCTATTTTTTTCCTTTGGTTGCTTTTAACAGTTTTGTCTTTTCCATAGTTTTCAGAAACTGACTCTGGTGTGGCTAGGTATGGTTTCCTCTGTATTTATCTTGCTTGAGTTACTTGAGATTTTTTATCTTTCTACTTATATTTTTAGCAGATTTGGAAAACGTTTACCATTGTATTATTACTATTTTGTTTTATTCCATTTCCTTTTTCTGAAACTAAAATTGCCTGTATGTTTTCCCACAGATTGCTGAGTCTCTGTTTAATTTTTAATGTTTCTTTTTGGTTTTTATATTTCCCACTTCCTCGCATGTAGAATGTTAACTGAGCTCAAAGCACCTCACTAGCTACTCTCTTGCAGGCTTCACAGGTTTCTTCCTACCTATTCACATATTAAAACACAATTGAAGACTGTACAGGATTATGCCTCTGCCTGCATCTCCTCTCAGCTGCAACCTACTCTTAACTGTTTCTTTTCAAATATCCATTTTAATATTATTTTGAGGATAAGGAAGAGAGACTGGGGACCAATCCTCAACATTCTTAAAAAAATTTCCCTCACACCTGTAATCCCAGCACTTTGGGAGGCTGAGGCAGGTGGATCACGAGGTCAGGAGATCGAGATCATCCTGGCTAACACGGTGAAACCCCATCTCTACTAAAAATACAAAAAATTAGCCGGGCATGGTGGTGGGCACCTGTAGTCCCAGCTACTCAGGAGGCTGAGGCAGGAGAATGGCATGAACCTGGGAGGGAGCTGGCAGTGAGCCGAGATTGCACCACTGCACTCTAGCCTGGGCAACACAGCGAGACTCTGTCTCAAAAAAAAAAAAAAAAAAGATTTTCCAACCCAGGATCTCATATCTAGCCACACTAAACTACCTAAGTGAAGGAGAAATAAAATCCTTTTCAGACAAGCAAATTCTGAGGGAATTTGTTACCAGCAGGCCTGCCTTGCAAAGGCTCCTGAAGGAAGCACTAAATATGGAAAGGAAAAACTGTTAAAAGCCACTAAAAATACACACTGAAGTAAACAGACCTATCAACAAGTCTGCAAAATAACCAGCTAGCATCATGATGACAGGATCAAATTCACACAACAATATTAACCTTAAATGTAGATGGGCTAAATTCCCCAATTAAAAGACACACAGTGACAAGCTAGATAAAAAGAAAAGGCCCATTGATGTACTGTATTCAAGAGATCCATCTCACATGCAAAGACACACATAGGCTCAAAATAAAGAGATGGAGGAAAATTTATCCAGCAATTGGAAAGCAGAAAAAAGCAGTGATTTCAATCCTAGTTTCTGACAAAACAGACTTTAAACCAACAAAGATAAAAAAAGACAAAGAAGGGTATTACATAATGGTAAAGGGTTCAATTCAACAAAAAGGGCTAACTATCCTAAATATATGTGCACACAATACAGGAGCATCCAGATTTATAAAACAAGTTCTTAGAAATCTACAAAGAAACGTAGACTTCTACTCAATAATAGTGGGAGACTTTAACACCCCACTGTCAACATAACACAGATCATCGAGACGGAAAATTAACAAAGATATTCATAACTGGCTCTGGATCAAGTGGACCTGATAGGTATCTACAGAACTCTCCACCCCCAAACAATAGCATATACATTATTTTCAGCACTGCATGGCACTTACTCTAAAATTGATCACATAATTGGAAGTAAAACACTTCTCAGCAAATGCAGAAGAACTGAATATCATAACACAGTCTCTCAGACCACAGCACAATCAAATTAGAACTCAAGACTAAGAAAGAAACTCACTCAAAACCACACAACTACATGAAAATTGAACAACTTGCCCCTGAATGACTCCTTTGTAAGTACTGAAATTAAACCAGAAATCAAGAAGTTCCTTGAAACCAGTAAAAGCAAAGAGAAAACATACCAGAATCTCCAGAACACAGCTAAAGCAGTGTTAAGAGGGAAATTTATAGCACTAAATGCCCATATCAAAAAGCTAGAAAGATCTCAAATTGAGATCCTAAGATCAAAACTAAAAGAACTAGAGGACCAAGGGCAAACAAACCCCAAAGCTAGCAGAAGACAAGAAATAACCAAGATCAGAATGGAACTGATGGAGATAGAAACACGAAGACCCTTCAAAAAATCAATGAATCTAGGAGCTGTTTTTAAAAATATATTAATAAAACACATAAACCACTAGCTAGACTAATAAAGAAGAAAAGAGAGAAGAATCAAATAGACACAATAAAAAATGATAAAGGGGATCTCATCACTGACCCACAGAAATACAAACTACCATCAGAGAATACTATAAACACTTCTATGCAAATAAACTAGAAACACTGGAAGAAATGGATAAATCCCTGAACACAGAAAGGCTATTATTAAAAGTCAAAAGATAATAGATGTTGGCTAGGTTGTGGTGAGAAGGGAACACTTATACCCTGTTAATGGGAGTGAAAATTAGTTCAACCATTGTGGAAGGCAGTATGTGATTCCTCAAAGAGTTAAAAACAGAAATACCATTCAACCCAGCAATTTCATTACTGGGTACATACTCAGAGGAATCTAGATTGTTCTATAATAAAGACACATGCCTTGTAGAATTCTGCTGTGAATCTGTCTAGTCCTGGACTTCTTTTTGTTGATTTTTTAATTACCATTTCAATCTTGCTACTTGTTCTTGGTTTGTTAAGCATATCTAACAATTCCTGATTTAAGCTAAGAGGGTTGTATCTTTCGAGGAATTTATCCATCTCTTCTAGATTTTCTAGTTTATGTGTATAAAGTTGTTCATAGTAGCCTTGAAAGATCTTTTGTATTTCTATGGTGTCAATTGGTAATATCTCCCATTTCGTTTCTTGTTGAGCTTATTTGAATTTTCTCTCTTCTTGGTTAATCTTGCTAGTGGTCTATCAATTTTACTTATCTTTTCAAATAACCAGTTTTTTTTCATTTATATTTTGCATTTTTTTGTTTCAATTTCGTTTATTTCTGTTCTTATCTTGGTTATTTCCTTTCTTCTGCTGGGTTTGGGGTTGCTTTCTTCTTGTTTCTCTAGCTCCTTGAGGTGTGACCTTAGATTGTCTGTTTGTGCTCTTTCAGGCTTTTTTTTTTTTTTTAGATGGAGTTTCACTCTTGTTGCCCAGGCTGGAGTGCAATGGCATGATCTCAGCTCACTGCCACCTCTGCCTCCAGGGTTCAAGCGATTCTCCTGCCTCAGCCTCTCAAGTAGTTGGGATTACAGGCATGCGCCACCATGCTCAGCTAATTTTGTATTTTTAGTAGAGACTGGGTTTCACCATGTTGGTCAGGCTGTTCTCAAACTCCTGACCTCAGGTGATGTGCCAGCCTTGGCCTCCCAAAATGCTGGGTAACAGGCATGAACCACCGCGCCTGGCCTCAGACTTTTTGATGTAAGTGTTTAGGTCTATGAACTTGCCTCTTAGCACCACCTTTGCTGTATCCCAGAAGTTTTGATAAGTTGTGTCACTACTGTTACTCAGTTTGAAAAACTTTTTAATTTCCATCTGGATTTCATTTTTGCCCCAGCGATCATTCAGGAGTGAGTTATTTAATTTCCATGTATTTGCATGGTTTTGAAGGTTCCTTTTGGAGTTAATTTCCAGTTTTATTCCACTGTGGTCTGAGAGAGTGCTTGATGTAATTTCAATTTTCTTAAATTTATTGAGTCTCATTTTGTGGCCTATCATATGGTCTATCTTAAAGAAAGTTCCATGCACTGATCTGCGGTTGTTGGGTAGAATGTCCTGTAAATATCTGTTAAGCCCATTTGTTCCTGGGTATAGTTTAAATCCATTGTTTCTTTGTTGATTTTCTATCTGGATGACCTGTCTAGTGCTGTCAGTGGCATATTGAAGTCCCCCACTATTATTGTGTTGCTGTCTATCTCATTTCTTAGGTCTATTAGTAATTGTTTTATAAATTTTGGACCTCCAGCGTTAGGTGCATATATGTTTAGTACTGTGATATTTTCCTGTTGGACAAGGCCCTTTATCATAATATAGTGTCCCTCTTTGTCTTTTTTAACTGCTGTTGCTTTAAAGTTTGTTTTGTCTGAGATAAGAATAGCTACTCCTGCTCATTTGGTGTCCATTTGCATCGAATATCTTTTTCCATTCACTTACATTAAGTTTATGTGAGTCCTCATGTGTTAGGTGAGTCTCTTGAAGACAATAGATACTTGGTTGATGAATTCTTATCCATTCTGTAATTCTGTATCTTTAAAGTGGAGCATTTAGGTCATTTACATTAAATGTTAGTATTGAGATGCGTGGTACCATTCCATTCATTGCCCTATTTGTTGCCTGTATACCTTGTCTTTTTTTAAAAATTGTATTTTTGTGTTATTAGTTCTGTGAGATTTATACTTTAAAAGTGTTCTGTTTTGATGTGTTTCTAGGATTTGTTTCAAGATTTAGAGCTCCTTTTAGCAGTTCTTTTAGTTCTGGCTTGGCAGTGGTGAATTCTGTCAGCATTTGTCTGAAAAAGACTGTATCTTTTCTTCATTTTGCTGAATAAAAAATTCTTGGCTGATAATTATTTTGTTTAAGGAAGTTGAAGATAGGGCCCCAATTCCTTCTAGCTTGTAGGGTTTCTGCTGAGAAATCTGCTGCTGTTGGCATGGATGTGGTGAACAGGGATCACTTCTACACTGCTGTTGGGAATGTAAACTAGTACAACCACTATGGAAAACAGTGTGGAGATTTCTTAAAGAACTAAAAGTAGAACTACCATTTGGTCCAGCAATCCCACTACTGGGTATCTACCCAGAGGAAAATAAGTCATTATACAAAAAACATACTTGCACATGCATGTTTATAGCAGCGCAATTCACAATTGCAAAAACATGGAACCAACCCAATTGCCCGTCTATCAATGAGTGGATAAAGGATGTATATGTATATATAATATATACACACACACACACAAACACACACATATATACACATAATTGAATACTACTCAGCCTAAAAGGAATGAAATAATGGCATTTGCAGTGACCTTGATGATAATGGGAGACTATTGTTCTAAGTGAAGTAACTCAGGAATGAAAAACCAAACATTGTATGTTCTCATTTATAAGTGGGAGCTAAGGTATGAAGATGCAAAGACAAAAGAATGACACAGTGGACTTTGGGGACTCAGGGGGAAAGGGTGGGAAGGGTGTGAGGGATGAAAGACTACAAACTGGGTGCAGTATATATTGGTCAGGTGATGGGTGCACCAAAATGTCAGAAATCACCACCAAAGAACTTACTCATGTAACCAAACACCACCTTATCCCCAATAACCTATGGAAATAAAAAAATAAAAAAGAAATAAAGACACTTATGTATGTTCATCACAGCACTATTCATAACAGCAAAGACATGAAATCAACCTAAATGCCCATCAGTGGTAGACTGGATAAAGAAATTGTGGTACATATACACCATGGAATACTATACAGCCATAAAAAAGAATGAGATCATGTTCTTTGCAGCAACATGGATGGAGCTGGAGGCCATTATCCTAAGCAAACTAACACAGGAACAGAAAAACAAATACACAGAAAAAAAAAAACCCAGAAAAACACATGTTCTCATTTGTAATTAGTAGCTAAACATTGAGTACATATGGACACAAAGAAGGGAACAGCAGACACCAGGGCCTACTTGGGGGTGAAGCATTAGTGGAGTGTGAGGATTTAAAAACTACCTATAAGATATACTGTTTATATCTTGGGTGACAAGATAATCTGTCCACCAAACACCGGTGACACACAATTAGCCTATAACAAACATGCACATGTACTCCTGCACCTAAAATAAAAATAGAAAAAAAATCATACCATATATATATTTTTATACTGGACATTTTATTTGGTAGAAAATTTCCCTTAAATTTAGCAGTTTGTGATATTGTATAAAGAAATAATAAGATTTATTTTTCTATAATTTTATTTTATTTCTCGGTTTTCTTACTTTCTGCTTATTTGTCTGTCATTATACCACAGTATATAAATTTCTTTCAAAAAATTGTTTACAATAACCCATTTTCTTACTTACTCTGATACACTGAAAAAAATGGAATTGAGTTGCTTTCTTTATCTTGTCTGAACACCATACATGGTGTTGGACATTGCCTTTGAAAAGCCTCTTACATTGCTTGCTTTCTTTTACTAAGCTATTTTATCTTACTTAGAACCACTAAAAGGTGATGCACTGAAATTTGGGCCCTTAGTCTACAGTTTTTCCACAGGTAGACTTTTTTACACAATTTCCCAGTATATGAAAGTAGTTCATTAAAACAAACCCAGTTTTCTTGGGTTTATGTGGTGCTGCTAAAACAGCAGTAGCTATGATTCCTTTTTTTTTTTCTAAAGAAAGTAAACCTGTTACTTTCATGACAGAAAATGTTTTCTTCAGAGATATTCTTATACAGTTTTCCCATTTTCCTTTCATGATAATTTTCTTTTTAATATTTAATTATTCCCTGTGCTTTAATGCCTACTCTCAAGTTTTAGATTATGTGATTGTGATTTCTCCTATAATACACATCTCAGTAGACAATGCCTCCAAAATGTTATGAGTGCTATGTAACAATCTGTAATCCCAGGGCAAGATTCTATTTCTGGACATAATTATCAAAGCTATTATCATTTATGGTTTTGCCAGTTTTACTACTTTCCACTTATTTATCCATCTGGCATTACACCCTAAAGCCTTTACCATTTGTGAATCATTGGCAATATTCACACCCAATTGTTATGACTCACTAGAAATATTTGCCAGATTTCTCAACATTTAAAAGAGACTTTCTTATTTTATGTTATTTAATTTTAACCAGTACAGTTGGCACAAAGGCCTCTTTTTACTGAAATTTTGAAAATAGATGCCAGATTAGAAGTGATTCCCATATTTAGATCATTTACACACGCACCCTTTTGTTCTAAAAACTCACAGATTATGACATCTTTCATGACTGCTTTTAAAAGTATGGATGTGAAACTTAGACAATGTGAACTCTCTGGATGAGGCATTAGAATTAATTAAAAGTTATTCCAGTTCTGTAAAAAGATTGCAAATGTTCAGTCTCTTTAGATAAATTATATTTCTTAGTATATCTTAGACAAGATATTTCATAGCTTTAAACATTATTTTTCTCATTTGTAATTATTTGTATCTATGAGGTTTCTCTTTAGTGCTATTAGTAATTCTTTTTAATTCATTGTTCTAAGAACACTTAACATGAGATCTGTGCTCTTAACACATTTTTAAATGTACAATGCATTTTTGTTGACTGTTGGTACAGTGTTCTACAGCAGGTGTCTAGAGCTTATTCATCCTACTTAGCTGAACTTTATGCCTGTTGATTAGTTACCCATTTCTTACTATTTTAGCCTCTGGCAGGTACCATTTCACTCTGATTTGACTATTTTAAATATCTAATGTAAGTAGAATCATGCAGCATTTTTCTTTCTGTGCCTGGGTTATTTCCCTAGCCTAATGTCCTAAAGTTCATTCATTTGTTGCATATTGCAAAATTTCCTTCTTTTTCTTAAGGCTGAATAGTATTCCATTGTTTGTTTGTAACACATTTTCTTTATCCATTCATATGTTGATGGAAATTTAGGTTGTTTCTATATCTTAGGTATTGTGAATACTGCTCCAACAAACATGGGAATGCTAATATGTTATTGGAATACTGATTTTAATCATTTTGGATGAATATCCAGTTATGGGATCATTCAATCTTGTGGAAATCCCATTGTTAATATTTTGAGGAACTTCCACACTGTTTTCCACGATGGCTGCACCATTTTGTATTCCCACCAACAATATGCAGGAGTGGCAATTTCTCCACATCCTCATGGATGTCTTTTGTTTGGTTGTTTGTATAATAGCCATAATGACACGTTTGATGTTGGAGGTAGAAAGATTGAGGGTTGTGATCAACTCAGTATATCACTGGAGGCTATATGAGTAAGCAGCAAACTGTTTGTCATAAATGCAGAATGTTGGCAGATCGACAAACTGCATCTGCCACCCAGAAGGAATGCTGAGGGCAGTCTCACCCCAGACAAGTGTTTCTTGTGATTAGGCAAATCTGAAACCTGTTAATAATAATATGAACCTGTGATCAATCAAGCAGCTGACCACCCATTAGCTCCTCCTCTCTGCTCTTTCTACCCAATAAAAATGAAGGGCTGAAGAAGCTCAGGGCGGTGGCTGCCTTTGCTCACTAGAAGCGGGGAGCTATTTTCTTCTTCCTAGGTCCCCCTTCCTTTAAAACAGTTTCTTTTGTTTCTTTGTTGTTGTTGTTATTTCTACATTTGTCCCTTCATTCATCTTGTAATGACGGTCTCAAGTAGTGACAGTAGTAACTGTTGTAGTGACGGTCTCAAGTAATTGAGACCACAGTCAGCCACAGTTTGAGGTGATATCTCATTGTAGTTTTGATTTGTGTTTTTCTGATGATTAGTGATGTTAAGCACCTCTTCATATAACTGTTGACTATTTGTATGTTTTCTTTTGAAAATATCTACTCAGTAATCCCAGCACTTTGGGAGGCCAAGGCGGGCAGATCACGAGGTCAGGAGATCCAGACCATCCTGGCTAACACGATGAAACCCCGTCTCTACTAAAAATACAAACATTAGCCGGGGGTGGTGGCGGGCGCCTGTAGTCCCAGCTACTCGGGAGGCTGAGGCAGGAGAACGGCGTGAACCTGGGAGGCGGAGCTTGCAGTGAGCCGAGATTGCGCCACTGCACTCCAGCCTGGGCGACAGAGCGACACTCCATCTCAAAAAAAAAAAAAAAAAGAAAAAGAAAATATCTACTCAAGATCTTAGCTTATTTTACAATTAGGTATATATATATGTGTGTGTGTGTGTGTGTGTGTGTGTGTGTGTATAACTATTGAGTTGTAGGATTTCCTTATATATTGTGGAGATAAACCTTTATTAGGTATATGGTTTGCAAATATTTTCTCCCATTCCATAGGGAGCCTTGTCACTCTGTTAATTGTTGCTTTCTGTGCAGAAGTTTATTAGCTTGATATAGTTAACATGTCTTTGTTTTTGTTTCTTATACTTTTGGTGTTCTATCCATGAAATCATTGCCAAGACAAAAGTCATGAAGCTTTTTCTCTGTTTCATAATTTTGGGTCTTAGGTTCATCTTTAATCCATTTTGAGTTGGTTTTTGTATGTGGTGTAAGATAAAGGTCCAATATCATTCTTTTGCATGTGGATATCCAGTTTTCTCAGCATAATTTTTCAAAGATATTCAACTTTTCTCATTATGTGTTCTTGGTACTCTTGTTAAAAATCAGTTGACCACATATATGTGGATTTATTTCTGGGCTTTTTATTCTCTTTTGTTGGTCTGCATGTCTATCTTTATGCCTGTATGATTCTGTTTTAATTATTGGAGCTTTGTCATATATTTTGAAATCAAGAAGTGTAATGCCTCCAGTTTTGTTTTTCTTTGTCAGGGTCTTTTGTGTTTCCATATGAATTGTAGAATTTTTTTTCTATTTATGTAAAAAATACCATTGGGGATTTTGACAGATATTACATTTAATCTGTAGATTGCTCTAGGTGCTATAAACATCTTTTTAAACTTTCATTTCAGGTTTGGGGTACATGTGAAAGTTTGTTACCTAGATAAACTCATGTCACAGGGGTTTGTTATACAGATTATTTTATCATCCAGGAATTAAGTCCAGTCCCAATAATTATCTTTTCTGCTCCTCTCCCTCCTCCCAGCCTGCACCCTCAAGTAGATCCCAGTGTCTGTTGTTTCTTTGTGTTTATAAGTTCTCATCATTTAGCTCTCATGAAAACATGTGGTATTTGGTTTTCATTTCCTACATTAGTTTACTGAGGATGATCACCTCCAGCTCCATCCATATTCTCACAAAAGACATGATCTCATTCTTTTTTATGGCTACATAGTATTCTATGGTGTATATGTACCACATTTTCTTTATTCATTCATATGTTGATGGACATTTAGGTTGTTTCCATATGTTAGCTATTGTGAATAGTGCTGCAACGAACATTTACATGCATGTGTCTTTATGGTAGAATGATTTATGTTCCTCTGGGTTTATACTCAGTAATGGGATTGCTTGGTCGAATGGTGGTTCTGCTTTTAGCTCTTTGGGGAATCATCACACTGTCTTCCACAATGGATGAACTAATTTACACTCCCACCAACAGTGTATAAGTGTTTCTTTTCTCCATAACCTTGCCAGCATCTTTTATTTTTTGACTTTTTAGTAATAGCCATTCTGACTGGTGTGAGATGATATATCATTGTGGTTTTGATTTACATTTCTCTAATGATCAGTGATATTGAGCTTTTTGTTGTATGCTTGTTGAAAAGTGTTCATTTGAAATGTGTTCATGTCCTTTTCCCGCTTTTTAGTGGGGTTGTTTGTTGCTTGTAAATCTGTTTAAGTTCCTTATAGATGCTGGGTATTAGACCTTTGTCAGATATATAGTTTGCAAATACATTTTCCCATTCTGTAGGTTGTCTGTTTACTCTGTTGACAGTTTCTTTTGATGTACAAAAGAAGTTGCTTTTGCTGTACGAAGCTCTTTAGTTTAAGCATATACTATTTGTCCATTTTTCCTTTCATTGGGATTGCTTTTGGTGTCTTTGTCATGAAATCTTTGCCTGTACCTATGTTCATGATGGTATTGCCTAGGTTGCCTTCCATGGTTTTTATAGTTTTGGGTTTTATGTTTAAGTCTAATTCATGTTGCATTGATTTTTGTATAAGGTACAAGGAAGGGCTCCAGTTTCAGTCTTCTGTATGTGGTTAGCCAGCTATCCCAGCACCATTTATTGAATAGGGAGTCTTTCCCTCATTGCTTTTTTTTTTTTTTTGTCAGCTTTGTTAAAAAATCAGATGGTTGTAGGCATGTGGCCTTATTTCTGGGCTCTCTATTCTATTCCATTGGCCTATGCACCTGTTTTTGTACCAGTGAACATTTTAACAATATTAAGTCTTTCAATTCTTGAACACGTAATGGCTTTTCATTTGTCGTGTCTTCTACAGTTTCTTTCACCAGTGTTTTGTAGTTTCTAGTATAAAAGTATTTCTAAGTTAGGTTTATGCCTAAGACTTTTATTCTTTTTGTCTCTAAAAATCTTTTAGCTTTTCACTACTGAATATAAGGCTCGCTGTGGGTTTTCATATATGGCCTTTATTACATTATGGTAATTTTCTTCTATTCTTAGTTTGTTGAGAATTTTATCACGAAAAATTATTAAATTTTATCAAATGCTTTTCCTGCATCTATAGAGATGATCATGTGATTTTATCTTTTATTTTCTTAATGAGGTTTATCATATTAATTGTTTTTTGTATGTTGAAATGGGCTTGCATTCCAAGAGATTTATCCTGGGATGAGTATATACACTTTGTCATGGTGTATTATCCTTTATATGCTATTGGATTTGGTTTGCTAGTATTTTGTTGAAGCTTTCTTACATCTGTTTTCACCAGGAATATTGGCCTGTAGCTTCTTTTCTTGTGGTATCCTTGTATGGCTTCATAAAATGATTTTGGGAGAGTTTCCTTCCCTTCAGTATTTTAGAAGAGTTTGAAAAGGATACCATTTGTTGTTTTTTAAATGTTTGATAGAATTTACTTTTGAAGATATCTAGTTCTGGGCTGTTATTTGTTGGAATATTTTAAATCACTGATTCAATCTTGTTATAGATCTGCTCAGACTTTCTGTCTCTTTATTATCTATTGTGATATGCCGTATGCTTCTAGGGAATTATTCACTACTTTTTGGTTATCTAGCTTGTTTGTGTGTAATGGTTCATAACTGATCCTGGTTCTTTTTATTTCTGTGGTATCAGTTGTAATGTTTTCTTTTTCACTTCTTATTTTATTTAATACTGTCTTCTCTCTTTTTCTTAGTTTAGTTCATGGCTTGTCTTGCGCATCTTCTCAAAAAAACCAACTCCAAATTTCATAAATTTTTATTGTTTTTCTGTTTTTTTATGTTATTTATTTCTGCTCAAATCGTTTTTAAATTTTCTCCCTTCTGCTAATTTTGGGCTTAGCTTTTCTTTTTTCTAGATCCCTGAAGAGTATATTTAGGTGGTTTACTTGAGATATTTCTTGTTTTTAAAATGTAAGTATTTATTATAATAAACTTCCATCCGTATTTTCTATGGCCTGAATGTTTGTGTCCCTCAAAGTTTATATATTGAAACCTAATTTCTAGCGTGATGGTATTAGGAAGTAGGACATTTCGCAGATAATTAGATCATGAAGGTGGAGACCTCATGAATGGGATTACTGTTCTTTTAAGGGCTGAAGGAATCAAAATTCTTTCCTTCCTTAAAGTAAGGCCATAAGGAGAAGGTGCCATCTATGACCTAGGAAAAGGGCCCTCACCAGATACAGATTTTCCCAGTGCCTTGAGCTCGACCTTTCCAGCCTCCAGAATTTGGGTAAATATATTTCTATTGCTTACAAGCAACAAAGTTTATGGAATTTTGTTATAGAAGCCTGAGCAGAATAATACTGCTTTTGCTGTATTCCAAAAATATTGGTGTGTGGTGTTTTTGTTAATGTTTCTCTTCAGGTATTTTCTTGTTTAAAAAATTTGCTTAAACTTCAACTTTTACTTTATGTTAAATTTTAATTGTTGTGGGTGCATAGTAGGTGTATATATTCATGGGGTACATATATCTTGATACAGGCATGCAATGTATAAAATCACATCATGGAAAATGGGGTATCCATACCCTTGAACATTTATCTTTTGTGTTACAAACAATCCAGTTACTTTTTTTTTGTTATTTTAACATGGAATACAAAATTATTGTTTACCATACTAATCTGTTGTGCTATCAAATACTAGGTCTTGTTCATTCTTCTATTTTTTTGTACCTATGAACCATCCCTACCTCTCCCTTACAACCTTCCCTACCACCCTTCCTGTCTGCTGGAAACCTTTGTTCTGCACTCTGTCTCCATGAGCTTAATTCTTTTAATTTTTAGATCCTACAAATAAATGAGAACATGTGATGTTTGCCTTTCTATGCCTTGCTTATTTCACTTAACATAATGATATCCAGTTCCACCCATTTTGCTATAAATGACGGGATCTCATTCTTCTTTATGGTTAAATAGTATTCAATTGTGTATAAATACCACATTTTCTTTACCCATTCATCTGTTAATGGACACTTCAACACTTCAAGGTCAAGTGGACAGTTCAGCACTTCAACGTTGCTTCCAAATCCTGGCTACTGTAAATAGTGCTACAACAAACATGCAAGTGCAGCTATCTCTTCAGTATACTGATTTCCACTCTTTTGTGTACATATCCAGCAGTCAGATTGCTGGATCATACGGTAGCTCTGTTTTTAGTTTTGTGAAGAACCTCCAAAATGTTCTACACAGTGGTTGTACAAATTTACATTTCCATCAACAGTATATGAGGCTTGTGTATTCTCCACATCCTCCCTAGCATGTGTTATCATCTGTTTTTTGGATATAAGCCACTTTAACTGGGGTGAGATGTGTTGCGGGAAGTCATGGACCCTGAATGGAGGGAGCAGTTAGAGCTGCGGCAGAGGAACATAAATTGTGAAGATTTCATGGACATTTATTAGTTCCCCAAATTAATACTTTTATAATTTCTTATGCCTATCTTTACTGCAATTTCTGAACATAAATTGTGAAGATTTCCTGGACATTTATCAGTTCCCAAAGAATACTTTTATAATTTCTTATGCCTGTCCTTACTTTAATCTTTTAATCCTGTTATCTTCATAAGCTGAGGATGTACCTCACCTCAGGACCCTGTGATGATTGCATTAACTGTACAAATTGATTGTAAAACGTGTGTTTGAACAATATGAAATCAGTGCACCTTGAAAATGAACAGAATAATAGTAATTTTAGGGAACAAGGGAAGACAACCATAAGGTCTGACTGCCTGCGGGGTCGGGCAAAAACAGCCATATTTTTCTACTTGCAGAGAGCCTATATCAGTTGTGCAAGTAGGAGAGATATTGCTAAATTCTTTTCCTAGCAAGGAATATAATATTAAGACCCTAGGAAAAGAATTGCGTTCCTGAGGGGAGGTCTATAAACAGCCGCTCTAGGAGTGTCTGTCCTATGTGGTTGAGATAAGGACTGAGATACGCCCTGGTCTCCTGCAGTACCCTCCCTCAGGCTTACTAGGATTGGGAAATCTCAGCCCTGGTAAATTTGAGGTCAGACCAGTTCTCTGCTCTCAAACCCTGTTTTCTGTTAAGATGTTTATCAAGACAATACGTGCACCGCTGAACACAGAACCTTATCAGGAGTTTCCGATTTTGCCCTGGTCCTGTTTCCTCAGAAGCATGCGATCTTTGCTCTGCCTTTTGCCCCTTGAAGCATGTGACCTACTCCCTGTTCATACATCCCCTCCCCTTTTGAAATCCCTAATAAAAACTTGCTGGTTTTGCGGCTCAGGTGGGCATCATGGTCCTACCGATATGTGATGTCATCCCCGGGAGCCCAGCTGTAAAATTCCTCTCTTTGTATCCTTTCTCTTTATTTCTCAGACTGGCTGACATTTAGGGAAAATAGAAAGAACCTACATTGAAATATTGGGGCGGATTCCCCTGATAGAGATGATATCTCATTGTAGTTTTGATTTGCATTTTTCTGATTATCAGTGATGTTGAACACCTTTTCATATGCCTGTTTGCCATTTGTATGTCTTCTTTTGAGAAATGTCTTCAAGTATTTTACCCATTTTTAAATTGGTTCAATAGATTTTTTCCTATAGGGTTGTTTGAGCTCCCTATATATTCTGGTTTTAAATCCCTTAGGTAGGTAGTTTGCAAATATTTTCTTCAATTTGGTAGATTGTCTCTTCACTTTGTTGATTGTATCCTTTGCTGTGCAGAAGATTTTTACCTTGATGTGGTCCCATTTGTCCATTTTTGCTTTAGTTGTCTGTGTTTTTGGGGTATTACTCAAGAAATTTTTGCCCAGTCAAATGTCCTGGAGATTTTCCCCCAATTTTTTGTTTAAGTGGTTTAATAGTTTGAGGTCTCAGATTTAAGGTTTTAGTCTATTTTTTTATTTGATTTTTGTGGATGGAAAAAAGATAGGGGTCTAGCTTCATTCTTCTGCACATGGATATCCAGTTTTCCCAACATTGGTTACTGGAGAGACAATCTTCACAGATGCTTTGCATCTTTGTCAAAAATGAGTTCACTGTAGGTGTGTGGATTTGTTTTTGGGTTCTCTAACCTGTTAATTTGGTCTATGTATCTGTTTTTATGCCAGTACCATGCTATTGTGTTTACTATAGTTCTGTAGCATAATTTAGTCAGGTAATGTGATTTCTCCAGTTTTGTTCTTTTTGCTTAGGACAGCTTTTGCTATTCTGGGTTTTTCATGGTTCCACAGAATGTTTAGGATTGTTTCTTCTATTTCTGTGAAGAATGTCATTGGTATTTTGATAATGATTGTATTGAATCTGTAGATTGCTTCAGATAGTGATATAGTTTTGATGTTTGTCTCTGCCTAAATCATATGCTAAATTATAATTCTCAATGTTAGAGATGAGGCCTAGTAGGAGGTGTTTGGATTATGGAGCCGGATCCCTCATGGCTGGGGTGTTATCCTCCTGATAGTGAGTGCGTTCTCTTGAGATCTGGTTGTTGTAGAGTGTGGCACCTCCATCCCCACTATTTCTCTTGCTCTTGCTTTCTCTAAGTGAAGTGCCTGCTCCTGTTTTATCTTGTGCCATGAGTAAAATCTCCCAGAGGCTTCCTTAGAAGGTGAGCAAATGTTGGCATCATGCTTCATGTGCAGCCTGCAGAACCATGAGCCAATTAAACCTCTTTCCTTTATAAATTACCCAGTCTCAGGAATTTATTCATAGCAGTGCAAGAATGTCCTAATAAAGAAAATTGGTACCAAGGGGCAGGGCATTGCTATAAAGATACCTGAAAATGTGGAAGCAACTTTGGAATCGGGTCATGAGAAGAGGTTGGTTGGAAGAATTTGGAGGGCCTAGAAGAAGACAGGGAGATGAGGGAAAGTTTGGAATTTCTTAGACACTGGTTAAATGGTTGTGATCAACATGCTGATTGTGATATGGACAGTGAAGGCTAGGCTGTTAAGGTCTCACATGGAAGTGAATAACTTATTGGGAACTGGAGAAAAGATTACTTGTGTTATGCCTTAGCAAAGAACTTGGCTGCATTCTATTTATGCCCTAGGGATCCATGAAAGTTTGAGCTTGAGAGTGATGACTTACGGTATCTGGTGGAAGAAATTTTATAGCAGCAAAGAATTCAAGATGTGGCCTGGTTACTTCTAACATTCTGGACTCAGATGCAGAAGCAAATAAATTACTTAAAGTTGGAATATACAAAGGAAGCAGAGCATAAAAGTTCAGAAAATTTGCAACCTGGCCATGTTTCAAAAAAAGAAAAAGATTTTTCAGAAGAGAAATTCAAGCAGGCTAAGGAGGAACAACTAGCTAGAGATGTTTGCATAATTAAAAGGGAACCAAGTGCTAATATCCAAGACATTGGGGAAAGGGCCTCAAAGGCATTTCAGAGACTTTCACAGCAGCCCCTCCCATCACAGGCCCAGAGGCTTAGGAGAAAAGAATGGTTTTCTAGGTCAGGCCCAGGGCCACACTGCACTGTGTAGTCTTGGGATGCTGTTCCCTGTATCCCATATGCTACAGCTTCAGCTGTGGCTCCAAGGGTCCTAGTTACACTTGGACTGCCACTCTAGAGGGCCAAAGCCATACACCTTGGCAGTTTCCACATGGTGTTAAGCCTGCAGGTGCACAGAGTGCAAGAGTGGTGGAGGATTGGCACCTTGTGCTTAGATTTCAGATGATGTATGGAAAAGCCTGGGTATTCAGGCAAAAGCCTGCTGCAGGGACAGAGCCCTCAAAAATAACCTCTACTAAGGCAGTGCAGAAGAGAAATGTGAGGTTGGAGCCCCTGCACAGAATCTTCATTGGGACATTGCATAGTGGAGCTGTCAGAAGGGGGCCACTGTGATCCAGACCCCAGAATGGTAGATCCACCACCAGTTTGTACCCTCAGTGTGGAAAAGCTGCAGCCACTCGACAACCTGTGAGAGCATGTATTGGGGCTGAACCCTCCAAAGCCACTGGGGCAGAGCTTCCCAAGGTCTTGGGAGCCCATTTCTTGCATTAGTCTGCCCTGGATATGGGATATGTAGTCAAAGGATATTATTCTGGAGTTTTAAAATTTAATGACAGCCCTGCTGAGTTTTGAACTTGCATAAGCCCCTTTGGGCTGACTTCTCCATTTTGGAATGGGAATGCTTATAACCCCATTGTATCTTAGAATAAATAACTTGTTTTGACTTTACAGGATCACAGATAGGAGATGTGTCTCAGATGAGAGTTTGGACTTGGACCTGGGACTTTTGAGTTAATGCTGGAATGATTTAAGACTTTAGGCAACTGTTGGGAAAGTATAATTGTATTTTTCAATGTGAGAAGAACATAAGATTGGTGGGGTAGCAGGAACAGAGTGATATAGTTTAGATATTTGTCCCTGACAAAATCTCATGTTGAATTATAATTCCCAATGCTGGAGGTGGGGCCTGGTGGGAGGTGTTTTGGTCATGAGGGTGGATCCCTCATGGCTTGGTGCTGTCCTTGTGATAGTGAGTGAGTTCTCTTGGAAACTGGTTGTTTTAAAGTGTGGTACCTCCCCCTGTCTTGTTCCTGCTTTTGCCACGTGAGATGCCTGCTCCTGCTTCACCTTCTGCCATAAGTAAAAGTTCCCTGCAGCTCCCCAGAAGCCCAGTAACGTCAGTGCTATGTTTCCTCTAAAGCCTGCATAATCATGAGCCAATTAAACCTCTTTTCTTTATAAATTACCCAGTCTCAAAGATTTATACCAATACAAGAATGACATAATACAGGTAGTATGGACATTTTAACAATATAGTTATTGAATCCATGAACATGAAATAGCTTTCCATATTTTTTGTGTTCTCTTAAATTTCTTTCATTAGTGTTTTATAATCTTAATTATAGAGATCTTTTACTTCTGTAATTAATTCCTAGGTGTTTAATTTTATTTGCGGCTTTTGTAAAAGAAATTACTTTTAAAATTTCTTTTTCAGAAGTTCACTGTTGGAATATAGAAATGCTACTGATTTTTGTATGTTGATTTTGTATCCTGCAAGTTTACTGAATTTTTTTTCAGTGCTAATAGTTTTTAAATTGAGTCTTTAGGTTTATTCAAATAGAAGATCGTATCATCTTCAAACAAGGATAATTTCACTTTTCCAATTTTGATTCCCTTTCTTTCTCTTGTCTGATTCCTCTAGCTTAGACTTCCAATACTATGTTGAATAACAGTGATGAATGCGGGCATATTTGTGTTCTAGATCTTAGGGGAAAGGCTTTCAGTTTTTCCCTATTCCATATAATATTAATTATGAATCTATCATACATGGCTTTCATTATGTTGAGGTATGTTCCTCCTACACTCAGTTTTTTTAGGGCTTTTATCATTATAGGATATTGAATTTTATCAAATGCTTTTTCAGCATCAGTTGAAATGATTGTATGGTTTTTGTCCTTAATTCTGTTGATATGACATGTTACATCGATTTGTGTATGTTGAAACATTCTTGCATCCCAGGGATATATTCCTCTTGGTCATGATGAATGATCTTCTTAATGTATTGTTAAATTCAGTTTGCTAGTATTTTGTTGAGTATTTTTGCTTCAATATTTATCACAGATATGTATGTTTTTTTATCTTAGGTTACCATAAGGCTTGTAAATACTATCTCATAACCCATTGTTTTAAACTGATGACAACAGTGATTGCATAAACAAAGAAACAAAGAATCATGCAAAAAGAAAATAATAACTCTACACTTTATTTTCTCATCTTTTAGCTTTTTCTTTCTCTTTATATCTTATTGGATTATGTCTTAAAAAGTTGTTGTAGTTATTATTTTTGATTTGTCATTTTTTAGTCTTTCTACTTAACATGAGTAGTTTATACACCATGATTACAGCACTATAACATTTGTTTTTCTGTGTGCTTACTTTTACCAGTGAGTTTTGTACCTTCACATAATTTCTTCTTCCTCATTAACGTCCCTTTCTTTCAGATTGAATAACTCCTTTTAGCATTTCTTATAGGACAAGTCTAGTCCTATAAGAACTAGGTCTAGACTTGTCCTGTTGACAAAATCCTTCAGCCTTTATTTTTCTGAAAAGGTCTTTGTATCTTCTTCATGCTTGAGGAAATTTTTTGTTGGATATACTATTCTAGGGTAGGGTTTCCTTTTCCCAGCACTTCATATATGTCGTCCCACTCTCTCCTGGCCTGTAAGGTTTCCACTGAAATGTGTGCTGCCAGTTGTATTGAAGCTTTCCGGTGTATGTGCTTTGTTTCTTTTCTTATACTGTTTTTATAATCCTTTCTTCATCCTTGACCTTTGGGAGTTTGATTATTAAATGCCTTGAGGTAGTCTTCTTTGGGTTAAATCTGCTTGGGGTTCTATACCTTTCTTTTATTTGGATTTTGATATCTTTACCTAGGTTTGGGAAGTTCTCTGATATTATCTCTTTGAATAAACTTTCTACCTCTGTCTCTTTCTCTGCCTCCTCTTTAAGGCCAATAACTCTTAGATTTACCTTTTGAGGCTGTTTTCTAGATTCTGTAGGTGTGCTTCATTTTTTAAATTTTTTCTTTTGTCTCCTCTGATTGTGTATTTTCAAATAGCCTGTCTTCAAGCTCACTAATTCTTGCTTTTGCTTCATCAATTCTACTATTAAGAGACCGTGATGCATTCTTTAGTATGTTAATTGCATTTTTCAACTCTAGAATTTGTTTGATTATTTTTAATTATATCAATCTCTTTGTTAAATTTATCTGATGGGATTCCAAATTTCTTCTCTGTGTTATCTTGAATTTTTTTTTATTTTCCTTAACACAACTCTTTTGAATTATCTGTCTGAAAGGTCACCTATTTCTGTCTTTCCAGGATTTTTCCCTGGTAATTTATTATTCGATGAAGTCATGTTTTCCTGGGTAACTTTGATGCTTGTAGATGTTCATCCATGTCCAGGCATTGAAGAGTTAGTTACTTACTGTTGTCTTTGTAGTCTGGGCTTGTTTGTACCTGTCCTTCCTGAGAAGGCTTTCAATTTGTTTGAAGGGACGTCAGCCCCAAGTTCAATAAAGCTGTGGTTTTTGTAGACTTATAGAGATAATGCCATGGTGGTCTTGGATAAGATCCAGAAGCGTTCTCTAAATTATCAGGCAGAGACTCTTGTTCTTTTCTCTTACTTTCTCCCACACGAATAGAGTCTCTCTCTCTATGCTGAGCCATCTGGAACTGGTGATGGTGATGCAGGCATCCCTGGGGCCACCACCACTGGGATTGTGCTGGGTCAGACCTGAAGCCAGCATAGCACTGGCTGTCACCCACAGCCCAATGTAACCACTACCATGTATGTTTACTCAATGCCCTAGGCCTGTGTGATCAACTAGTAGCTAAGCCATCCAGATTTCTGATCTTTCATTCAGGAAGATTAGTTCCTGTAGGTCCTTGGAGGATCCAGCGATCCTCTTTGTATCCAGAGGTACAAACAGGATATATCCAGAGATACAAATAGGAGGTATACAGGGTATACCCAGAGATACAAACAGGAGTCTCTCACCATAGCCACCATAGCTGGGAATGTGCTGGGTTACAACTGAAGTTGGCAACTTTCAGGGCTCAAGGTACACAGCATACTCCCTGGGTATGCTGATTATTCAGGGTCCATTGCTGGTTATTCAGGGCTCAAGGTCTCTTTAGTCAGCAGATGATGAATTATGCTAGGATTGGGTTCTGCCCTTCAAGACAGTGGGTTCCCTTTTGGTGCAGGGTGTGTCTGTAAACAACATCCATGAGCTAGAGCCTGGAATTGGGGTCTCACAACTCTGCATGGTGCCCTATCATATGGTGGTGGAGCTGGTATCCAAGATACAAGACATTGTCCTCTTGACTCTTGCTTTTTTCTCCTTAAGCAGAAGGAAGAAGTCACATTCATTGTTGTGAGCTGCATGGCCTGGCCCTCCTCTGGCTCTGAGACCAGCTAAGCATGAGGAATTCAAGTCCTTTTGTCCTAGACTGCCTTTGAAATTTACTTAGATCCTGAGAGCACTTCAATTCAGGAGCTAAGTAAGGGTGGTGATACTTTCTGAGAAACTCAAGTTCTGACTGCTGGAATGGATGATTCCCCTCTGGCTAGATCTGGTCCAAATGCTTCTTCCATGTGTCTTTGCTGGCTGAGCCCAGCATAACTTTGCTCTACAGCGTGACAAGGCAGCACTGAGTTAAAATGTTAAGTCTCCCGGTCACTGCACTCTACCTTTCCCAAGTGCTTAGACTCTTTGCATTGCATGGCTGCTGCAGAGGGATGGCAGAGGGGTGCCTCTGGCAATTTAAGAATATCTCCTACCCTCTTCAATGCCCCTTTCAGCAATATGAAGTTAAAACCAGGTACTGTGACTGCTCACCTGATTTTGGGTTCTTGTGACTATGTTTTTCGGTGTGCAGATACTTGTTAAAATTTGGTGTTCCTGTTGGGCAGATGAAAGGTTTAGGCTTTTACTCTAACACCCTGCTCTGCCCTCTCAACTTTTATTTTACATTCAGGGGGAATATTGGCAGGATTGTTACATGGGTATATTGTGTGGTGCTGAGATTTGGGGTACAGATCTCATCACAAAGTTAGTAAGGATAGAGCCCAATATGTAGTTTTTCAACCCACAGCCCTCTCCTTACTCCATACGCTTACTGTTACACATTGTTTATTGTTTCCATATCTATGTAGATGTGTGCTTCATATTTAGCTCCCATTTATAAGTAAGAACATGTGGTACTTGGTTTCCTGTTCTGGTGCTAATTTGCTTAGGATAAAGGACTACAGCTGCAAAAGACATTATTTCATTCTATTTTTATGGCTGCCCAGTATTTCCGTATGCATATGTAACACATTTTTCTTTTTTCAAATCACTGTTGATGGGCACCTAGGTTGATTTCATGTCTTTGGTTATTGTAAATAGTGCTATGATGAACATGCAAGTGATGTGCCTTTTTGGAGAGTGATTTATTTCCTTTTGGGTACATACCCAGTACTGGGATTGCTGGTTCTAATGGTAGATCTGTTTCATGTTTTAGGAGAAATCTCCAAATTGTTTTCCACAGTGGCTGAACTAATTTACATTGCCACTAATGGTGTATGTGTTCCCTTTTCCCTGCAGCCTCACCAGCTCTGTTATATTTTGACTGTTTAATAGTAGCCAATCTGATAGTGTGTGATGGCATCTCATTGTGGTTTTGATTTGCCTTTCTCTAATAATTAGTGATATTGAGCATTTTTTCATGTTTATTGCTCACTTATATGTCTTCTTTTGAGAGGTAAAGTCTTTTCACATACTTGATCCATTTTTAATGGGATTACTTTTTTTTCTTGTTGATTTGTTTAAGATCTTTATTGATTTTGGATATGAGACCTTTGTCAGATGTATAGTTTGTGAACATTTTCTCCCATTCTGTAAGTTATCTGTTTACTCTGTTGATAGTTTCTTTTGTTAGGCAGAAACTTTTTAGTTTAATTAGGTCCCACATATCAGTTTTTATTTTTGTTGCAATCGCTTTTGAGGAATTGGTCATAAATTCTTTCCCAAGTCCAATGTCTAGAATGGTGTTTGCTAGGTTTCTTTTAGGATTCATATAGTTTGACGTCTTTCATTTAAATCTTTAACCCATCTTGAGTTAATTTTTAAATCTTTAACCCATCTTGAGTTAATTTTTATGTACAGTAAAAGGCAGAGACCAGTTTCATTCTTCTGCATACAGCTGTCCAGTTATCCCAACAGCACTTATTAAATACTGAGTCCTTTTCTCTTTGTTTTTTGTTGACTTTCTTGAAGATCACATGGCTGGAGATGTGCGGCTTTATTTCTAGGTTCTCTGTCTTGCTCCACTGGTCTATGTGCCTACTTTTTCTTTTCTTCTTCTTCTTTTTTTTTTTTTTTTTACTTTTTTACCCATAACTTGCTGTTTTGATTACTGTAGGCTTATAGTATAGTTTGAAGTTGGCACTTATATATGAATTTCTTTTGGCAGTAAGACCATTTAAACAGTATTTATTCTTCCAATCCATGAGCATATAATGTTTGTTATTTGTTTGTGTCACCTCTGATTTCTTTCATCAACAGTTTTTCTCATAGAGATCTTCCACCTCCTTGTTGAGATGTAGTCCTAGGTATTTCATTTTACTTGTGGCAATTGTAAATTGGATTATTTTCTTGATTTACTCTCAGTCTGTACATTATTGATATATATATAAATGATACTGATTTTTGTACATTGATTTTGTATCCTGAAACTTTACTGTAGTCATTTATCAGTTCTAGGAGCCTTTCACAGAGTCTTTTGAGCCTTTCACAGAATCATACCATGAGCAAAGAGAAATAAATTTACTTCTTTTCCTATTTGGATGCCTTTTATTTTCCTCTCTTTCTTGATTGCTTTGGCTAGGACTTCCAGTACTATGTTGAATAGGAGTGGTGAGAGAGGGCATCCTTGTCTTGTTCCATCTCTCAAAGTGAATACTTCCAGCTTTTGTCTATTCAATCTGATGTTGACTATGGATTTGTCATAGATGTCCTGTTATTATTTTGAGGTATGCTACTTTGGTGTCTAGTTTGTTAAGAGGTTTTTTTTTATCATAAGGAGATGATGGATTTTATTGTATGCTTTTTCCATGTCTATTGGAATCATATGGTTTTTGCTTTTGATTCCATTTAGGTGGTGCATCACATTTACTGATTTGCATATGTTGAACCAGGCCTGTATCCCAGGAATACAGCATACTTGATTGTGGTGAATTAATTTTATTAATATATTCCTTGGTTTGATTTGCTAGTATTTTGTTGAGGATTTTCGCATCCATGTTCTTCAAGGATATTGATCTAAAGCTTTCTTTTTGCATTGTTCCTCTTCCAGGTTTTGGTATCAAGCTGATGTTGGCTTCATAGAATGGGTTAGGAAGAAGCCCATTCTCTTCAATATTTTGGAATAGTTTCAGTGGGATCGATATCAGATTTTCTTTGTACATCTGGTAGAATTTGGCTATGAATCCATATGGTCTAGGGATTTTCTTTTTGGTTGTTAGGATTTTTATTACTGATTCAACTTCAGAACTCCATATTTGTCTATTCAGAGTTTCAATCTCTTCCTGATTCGATCTTGGGAGAATGTGTGTTTCAAGGAATTTATCAATTTGCTCTAGATTTTCTAATTTGTGTGCATACTTCTTTATAGTAGTGTCTGGGAATCTTTTTTTTTTTCCTATAGGATCAGCTGTAATGCCATCTTTGTCATTTCTGCTCGTACTTCTATCTTCTCTTCCTTTTTCTATGTTAATCTAGCTAGCACTCTACCGATCTTGTTCATTCTTCTGAAAAAAAAAAAAAAAAACCTCTTTCATCTTTTGAATGGATTTTTGCATCTCAATTTCACTCAGTTTTTCTCTAATTTCAATTATTTTTTTCTTCTGCTAGCTTTGTGTTGGTTTATTTTTGTTTTTCTACTTCCTTTAGGTGCTAAGTTAGATTGCTAATTTGAGACCTTTATAATTTCTTAATGAAGGTGTTTCTTTAATCTCAAGTGAGATTGGAGAAGCTTTTGTGGACTATATCATCAAATATATTTTTCAAATTGCTTTTTCTCTCTTCTCACTCAGAATGCCAATGAGTCATAGATTTAGTCTCTTAACATAATCCCATATCTCTTGGATATTTTGTTTATTTTTTAAAATTATTTTTTCTTAATTTTTGTTTGACTGAGTTGATTGAAAGACCTGGTCTTCAAGCTCTGAGATTCTTTCCTCAGCTTGGTCTATTCTACTGTTAATACTTCAGATTGTATTATGGAATTCTTATAAAGGATTTTTCAGCACTAGGAGTTTGGTTTGCTTCTTTCTCAACATGGCTATTTGATCTTTCAACTCTTGGATCGTGTTAGTGGATTCCTTGGATTTTGTTTCAACTTTTTCTTGTATCTTAATGAGCTTCTTTGTCTTTAAGATTATGAACTCTATCTGTCATTTGAGACTGGTTGAGAACCTGTATTAGTCCATTTTTATGCTGCTGATAAAAACATACCTGAGACTGGGTAATTTATAAAGAAAAAGAGGTTTAACGGACTCACAGTTACACGTGGTTTGGGATGCCCTCACAATCATGATAGAAAGCAAGAAACACATCTCACATGGTGGCAGACAAGAGAGAATAAGAACAAGGGAAAGTGTTTTCCCTCACAAAACCATCAGATCTCATGAAGCTTATTCAGTACCATGAGAACAGTATGGGGGAAACCACCCCCATGATTCAATTATCTCCCCCCAGTCTCTCCCACAACATGTGGGAATTATGGGAGCTACAATTCAAGATGAGATTTGGGTGGGGACACAGCCAAACCATATCAGAACCATTGCTGGGAGCTAGTGGTATTGCTATTGCTTGGAGAAGGGGACAGTCTCGATTTTTGAATTGCCAGAGTTCTTGTGCTGATTCTTTCTCATCTGGGAGGGTTGGTGTTCCTTTAACTGTGGTGTAAGTTAAAGGAATGTCAACTTCACTGTAGTGAAGTCAGTTGGATTTTTAAAAATCTTTTTAGAGGGTCAAGGCTCTGTGCAGGGTTTTTATTTGTAGCTGAATTCTTGCCCTTGGTTTCATAGGGGGATATATTAGCAAAATATTTTTGGCGTTGCAGTTTGGGCTGTGAGCCAATAGATGATGCTAAAGAGTAACTGCTGGAAGATAGACGTGCTTAGCCATGTGATTCCTATGTATTTCCTCATGTTTGCAGCCATACTCTATGGTGTTGGGGGAGGAGAGGTGACCCTCTCATCAGGTCTACTCCTGGGCCTCTGGGAGCCCCCTCCAATCACTGGCACTGTACTTGGTTTTCTTTTATTAGGTGTTTCAGGCTATGGGGCTTACTTTTGTAGAGGCCGTACAGGGAGACAGTTCACACAATTTCTGGACTGGCCCTGCAGAAAGAGGCATGTCCTACTCTTGTGCCAGCCCACAGAACCACATGTCTCATCCCTCTCAGTGTTCTGAGGGTGTTGGCTCCTCCCCCAATTAAATGCCAGCCACAAATTTTAGCTTGGCACTCCCAAGCTGCACAGTGTAGCCTGGGGTACTGGGAATGTCTTGTGGCTTCATCCTCTGGACACTGAGGGTTGGGTATAGGTGCAATGGAAAATCTGAAGTGTTCACAGGACAACAGAAATGTACTTGGTGGAGCAAAACACCTAGCTTGTACAGCAGTGACTGTGTTGGGCCCATAGTCTTCTGGGGTAGCCAGGCATGGGCCCTGGGAGAATCTGATAGGCAGGAGGGCCAGCAGAACAGATGTGGCCCAGTCCCAAAGGGAAGCTGGCTCTACTTTCAACTGGCCCAGCAGTCAGCTGAGGCTAGAGCTTCTCAGAGGGAGATAAGGAGTCCTGGGAAATGGGTGCCTATGGCCAAGCTCTGTTGGAGCTGCCCCACACATGAAAGCCCCAAGTTCTGTGCTGGCTGAAGCCCTGTCTCTCTCTGTCTGGGCAGGTTCACCTACCAGGTCAAATGTCCATGAGGGACCTGGAGTCTCCTGTAGCTAGGATCCCAGAGGTCCATGGTGAAAGTGGGAAATCCTACAGTCCCTTTACTCACCCCTTCCTCAAGAGCTGTTTGGGGCTGGGAACTAAACCTAGCATTTGGGTACTCTGTACAGGGGTCCCAGTTTCCTCCTTCTTCAGTCTCAGTGTCTGTATCATATCTCCATCCACTCTTGTTTTCTCTGAAGATCTGTTCAAATTATGTTGGTTTACTTGAAATTTTGGTCTTTCTCAGTAGAAGTGCCACTTCCTAGCTGCATGTAGTTAACCATCTCCATTAGATTCCCCAGGTATTTTCTAATTTCCTTTTAATTTCTTTTAGACTCAATGCTTTTTCAACAGTGTGTTGTTTTCCCAATTTCCACATTGTATTGTCCATTCTTGCATTGCTATAAAAAATACCTGAAACTGGATAACTTATAAAGAAGTTTGGGGGGACTTGCTCAGGTAAAAATTTGTAGTTATTCTTACTCCTTCTCCTTTTCTTGTCCTCCACAAATGGAAATCCCAAGTCTATGTCTTGATATCCCAGGCTGAGATCCTTTCTTTTGTAACGTACTTTAGGGAAACATTGTAGTTTAGTAAAAGAACACTAATTTTTTTGTGATCTGACTTCACTGATTACTAGCTCTCAATACTTGAGCAATCTGTTTGACTACTTTAGACCTGCCTTTTTTCATGTGTAAAATGGAGATGTTATGTATATCCTACCAACTTTGCAGAGTTGCTTTCCGGCTGAAATAAGGTAATGAACATGAAAGTGCCTTCTATTTTTCTGTAGATGTGTCTTCACTTACTCTTTCCTCTGGCTACACTCAGTGAAAGCCAGAGCAGGCAGCCATGAGCAGTGCTGGTTGGTCTGTGCCACTGTGAATTGCCTTGAGCCTTCTGTATTCTGTCAGGAATTGAGATTCACTTCCTTAGCGGAGGAATTTTACAAGGGAATGGGGGAAAAGATAAAACATAGAGAATAAACAAGGGACATAATGCATAACCTCATTTAAAACAATAAAATGGCTAAAGCCATTAAAGGGGGTCATAGCATCAGAAAAGTTAAAATAAGGAACATATATGACTGTACATGTGTGCACAAATGTGAGAGTCAGACATTGGCTCAGAGAGAAAAAAATACAGACCAGAGAGGTTGGATATAAATAACTTACTTCATTTTTGATGCTCAACTATTATACTATGAAGAGTTCTCTTTTCAGGATTACAGGATTTTCCAAATACTAAGTTTGTATTTTGGGTGATAGCCTTATTCCTTGAAAGTAGCATTGGAGAAACTTTTCTATAAGGAATAAAAACAAGAAAGAGGAAGCTGAATTTAATACACTTATTGACTTTCTGAAATAGTTAAAATAATGCTCAGATTGTTTTCATTACTTACATTTACTTCACTGTTATAATATTTGAATTTGAACTCATTTTGAGCCATCAGCTAAGATAAGCCTGCTCTTTAATGACAATTGCAAGACATGTGGCCCTCTTTCTTTCTATTGGTGTATGCTATCTCGATAAAGCTTCCTTTGAGAAGTTTTGGAGTTTTTTTATGTTAACGGAATTTTCATTCTCTTGTGAAACATCACATACTATCATTAACTATCTACATTTTTCAAATTGGAAAGATATGGTCCAATGTGGTCAAGTGAATGAGTTGAGTAAATTTATGTAGCAAGAAAATCAATATATGAAAAAATGAAACTTCAGATGTATTGAAAATACTGTGGCATTTGTCCAACTAGCTTTCCCTTAAGTCTATATTCCCATTTTCACTAAGCTCAGCTAAAATGGAAGCTAGAAGCAAAACCACAATGTTGTTGTATAAGTGTAGTTGTCACTATGGCCTAACAAGTTTGATTAGCTCCATTAACAGGAATGCTCTGCAGGGTTCTTTAAATCAAAAACATAAAAAAACCTGGATTTTCAACAAACTCTTAGTCCTAGCTGGGCCTGATAGCCTATTTGGAAATTGATTGTCCCAAGTAATTGGATTTACTCAGGCTACTGTATCAGTATCATATCTGAACTCTGCTTCTTTCTCTTCAGCTATATGTAACAGACTTCCACTGCCTACTTCATCATTCTGTCTCAGTGGAATAATCTGAGTTTCCACTGACAGAACTGTTTGGCAATGTGAAAAGTCATTAAAAGGCACTGAAAATAGCTAGTGGGATTCCTTTTTATTTTTGTTATTAGCTGTATTAATGAAAAGTTCACAAAGAAAAGAGGGAATAAAATATCTCTGCTCATAGTTAGTGCCATATTCTGATTCTTATATTGCTTATATTCTTTAAAAGCCAATGCTATATGGGTTAATGCTCTTACTATAAAAGTCAAAAAGAACCAGATTGAATTAGTAGAAGTAGCACTGTCTTCTATGTGTCCTTCTGAGGAAAATAGATTCCCGAGATTTTACAGGTCATAATCTCAGATTTACAAGTGATTTTTAAGAAACACCTTATCATAAAACTTTTCTTTGATTTATAAAGTTAATGTGATCCTTTCCAGAGTCAATTAGAGATATTTTCTTGGTCTTCAGCATTTAGATTTCTCATCATGTTATTGGCAATAATAATATGGCTTCCACAGGATTTCTGAATGGACAAAATTAAATGAATACATGTGAATCACCTCAATATTTTTAAAAAGTTTGCCCATTTATCACTGTCCCCTTTCCCCTGACATTGAACCAGTTCCCCATTCATGACAAAGCATCTTTTATACCATAAATCTACATTAATTTAAATTCTCAAAGCAGTTTTTATTGAATAATGCTGTCAAAGACTTCTGAATAGTCCAAATAAATTCTACAGATTCTCCTTTTTTTATGAATAATGTTTATTTATTAATTCACTTGTTTGTTTCTCTCTCTCTCCTTCCTTCCTTCTTTCCTTCCTTCCAAGAATAATGGCAGAGTAGTTAGACATGAGTATCCATTCTAAAAGCTTTATATGCCTTCCAAGTTCAATTGTTCCTGCTTTAAGTATTCATATTCACTAATATACTTCTTTATGATAAACACCATCAAATTGCCAGATAGGAAAGAGAGACTTGTCTTATTTTAAGGAAAATGTTATGCAAAATATAGTGAACTTGGCTCTATGCTATTCATGCTGAATGTAATAATCCAGAGAAGAGAAATAGGGTTGTTTATTGCTTTCCCTCAGTATTTTGTGTATTCTGAATATATCTGCTATTAAAATGCAGATCGTTGCTAATTTCTACCAGCTTGCTAAGTACCACAATCTCATCACCAATCTGTGTGGCAGCAGTTTTATGAAGGTTCTTTGGCTTCTGTGACTTAGCTGATGATGTTTCCTTACTATTAATGTCCTCATTCTTTCCCTCTATCTATTGACCTCCTTCCTGATTTTATAGGTGCAAGACAAATCTCTGTTCCTCCCAAGGACATTTCTGCCCACACAAGACCTACGGAGTCTACCTTTCCTCTGAACCTGTATGGCACACACTGTAACTATGCCCCTTCTTTACCAAGTGTCATTTACAACCTTGCACTGCTCATGTCCTTCTCACAGTTTGAATTCATCATCTTCCACGCCAAATCACCCTTTTTCAAGGTTCCTATTATGTTGAGTGTCTCCATCATCTAAACAGGTGTTCAATCACAAATGGGGTCATCATCTGTGACTCTCCCTTCATATTTACCAACTGCCTCCTTAACATGTAAACATGAAGTCCTGTGCCATCTTAATATCTCTTTCTTCTACCTCTTCATGGCATCTTCAATTCCTGAGCTTAGGGGGTGATCATCTTCTTCCTGGATTACTGCTACAGCTTTCTACAACTGGTCAGATTTGAATATTGCTCACACTTAACCCATTCTCCCTCATGCAGTCAGAATACATGCTAAAATGCAAATGTAACCTTTTCACTTTCCTGCTGAAAACTTTTCAATAGTTCTGAAATGCTTTTAAAATGAGCGAAAATTTTCCAGCATGGCATACAAAATCCTTTATGATCTAGCCACTACTTAGCTATTCAGCTTTGTATCTGGGAACTCTCCAGTTTATACCTTAAGCTCCTGGCACACTGAGCTGAACATAGATATTGCCCATGTTAGTGAATGTACAATGGGACTTTTCTTGTTGTCTTAGAATTTCTGCTAAAGTTTGAAGGTGGTAGGTGATCAGTATTTACAACTTCTAAAGAGAGCTGCTAAACATTTCTATAGACATCTCTAATAGCAAAATGGGTTTGTAAGTATCATTTTCCATAATCCACCTCCAGCCTATACAACAGAAAATTAGAAATTTAAAAAACAGTTGATTGGAAATTAGGAGAATTGCTAGTGGTAAATGATGCTATGGTATTTCCCCTCTGTCCGTGAAAATCAGAGGGACCACATCCTCTTCCCCAAGTCATGTGAGGAGTCATCAAAAGTATTCGTCATAGAGATCAGAGGTGTCTGAAAGAGGGAAACCCCAAATCTTACAACCTTGCTAGTTGTTCAGTGTACTATGGAATTGCTGGCTTGGGCTCTGGAATGTACTGAAGCAGAGAATTGGATTCCTAGGGAAAATATCCTTTGGGGACTAGAAACATATGTGAACACGGAGCCTGGTAATTTTTATCTCCACGTTGAATTTGAATGGCAGTAGGCTGAGGTAAGTACCAATATGAAGGCAACAAGGCAATAGTCAATAGAAGCAGCATTGTCAGGGAAAGCTTGTGAGAATTTCCTATGGGCCAAGTGGATGGTGTGGAGGAAGGAACTAACTCCTGCAGAGGTGAGGGGGATCCATTTGAATTCTCTGTATGACAGTGTACATTCAGGGGCAGGAGCTTGATGGGGTTTGCCAAATATTGGAGGCAGAGGGGGGAGTTGTCTTCTTGAAACAAACACGCTGCAGAAGTCTCTAGAGAAATCAGGGATATCTCTAAAGAATTCCCTAGTATTTCATGAAACAACCAGCATTTGAATATTCTCCATAAAGAGCATGCTATCCAGCTGGAGTCAGCCAAGAGAGAAACACAAACATACTGGCCAAATAAGACCTCTGTCCCCTGTCTTCTGAATCCTCTTCTCTTTATTCCCTACATTGGGGAAGCTTGGAAGGATGGGGAAAAGATAGAGTAGGAGAAATGAGAAAACAGACCAAGCTCCCTACCTACTGCAGGTCTGGGAGTCATGAGCTGGGGAGAAGAGAGAGATTGCAAATGAGGTATGATTAACTCAGTTCTTCAATGGACATTTATTGAGCATTTCTTTTATGCCTGAAACAGTTCTAGACTGGATTAGACTAAATTTTGATTAGACTAAGATTTTGATTTATGTGGCCTGTAATTTTTAATATCTGAAATTGAAACTATTTTTATAGCTGAAAATGACTGAAAAGTGATGGGTTTTGCCCATGATGGCAATAAAGGGCTAGGGGCAGAGAAGATCCAGAGATGCATGTTAAACCCTGTGATGGGAGAAAAATAATGTTGTCTGTGTATATCCCATCAAATGCCACTCATTCAACAAACCAGTTATACTCTAAATGTACCTTGTCCTCTCTAATCTTCCTGCTTTATGCATGACTTTCCCTGCCTGGGTATTCCACACACTACCTGTACCTAGAGTTTCTTGGTGAGCTAAATAAATTTTTACAATGTCATTGTGTGGGAGCATTTCCTTACTCTCATGTGACTGATCAGTTCCTTTCCTATGAATTCTAAGGCCCTTCCCTTTCATAATACTGTTTATTTCTTTCTAAATTGTTGGTTCCTTGAGTGCAGAGAATTCCTCTTATAAACTTTCTGTCTCTAGTGTCTAGTATGTACTCGTGCATCGTAGATGCCCAGCACATAATTGAATGTAAGTAAGCAGATTAAGGGACGAGACCATGCTTTATACTTTGCATTGTTTTCTATGGTGACTGAGTAACGTGTCATACTTAGGAATAAGTCTTTAAATGTCAGTGTTGTAGATCTAGCCACTAGTTTGTGGTCCAGCTTTATATATTTATATAGACAGTGCTGCTGATGTGTGTTTTAGCTCACTATAGGCACCAGATAGCTCACTATAGGCACCAGATACTTGATCGTATGAGACAGAGTCCCAGGCCCTGTAACTGCTGGTGAGTTTCTTTATCTCTAAACTTTATGAAGATGACAAAAGGATTTGTTGAGAATAACAGAATTTATATTCTGGAATAAAAATGATATGATTTTCTATAAACATATTTTATGTGTAAATGTACAAGGGCTTTGAATCCTATACTTAGATATTTCTCAGTAACAACAGTATATACCCAAGTTAACAGTTCCTTTCTGGTCTGTACACTTCCTTGACTTGCGCTGATGTTCACTTGTGTGTCTTCTGGGCATTACTGTCCTACAGATTCCACGCTGTAGGAGAGTCATGCCAGAAGTTATTATATCACTTAGGATTAGGTGTAGCCAAATTACAGAAAACTTAAAATAATAGTTACTTAAATATAATAACAGATGTTTATTTTTCTCTGTTGCAAAAGAAATCCAGAGATAGAATAGTGCAAAGTGAATTTGGTAGCTCCATAGTCATCAGGGAGTCAGGCTTTTTCTCAGTTTTAGCTCCTGCATCCCAGCATGTGCTGCCATCTTGAAGGTCACCTCATAGTCTTAGGAGGTTATTGATCTTCCAGCTGTCATGTCCAAGTTACAGAACACAGGAAGAAAAAAGGAAGGATAACAGTGACTTACAAAGAGACATATAGCTTCAATCAGCCTTCCCAAGAGTCCCACTGAGTGCTTCTGCTTGCATTTCATTGGCCAGAACTTACCCACTTAGCAAACTGTCTGCTCTACCAGAGGCTAGGAACTGCTGTCTTTTAGTTAAAATTGGAGCTTATTGTTTACAAAAAAGATTGGTGACAACTAGAGAATATAATCTCTGCCATGGCTGCATTCTTGTATAAGGGTTTACTATTTATCACCTTGTCTCTTATTTTACCCCATGTTTCCCTTCAACACAATATCTTCACCTGTTGATTTTCACAAAATGCCACACTTCACTCCAATCTGCTCTGAAAATCCTGGCTGCCTGCTATGTTCGTTCCAGAGAAATCACTTTTGTGTGTTTGCATGGCCTTGCTGCTCTCCATCTAACTTAAATGCTCAGTCCTGCATCTGCACTCTCACAGCCAGGAGCATTCTCCTTGGAGGGCTGAGACCATGGGCAGGATTTTATTTTGTTCCTTTCCAGTTCAAGTAGTCATTTTTTGGGGCTCAGAATATAAGCTGAAAATCAGGTCTGGCTTTGCAGCATTTTGATACTTCCTGGCCAAATGATGGGTGGGTAGAGGATCTCACATGTGCTCTGAGGTGTTCTGCAGCTGGTACTCATTGGTATCGAGTGCTCTCCCTTGCTGCTTCTGTTTCCTAGGTGGGCCACCTTCTTCTCTGCTGATCTCTTCCTGGGACTTCCAGACACAGAGACCTCAGTAGGAGCTGCTGCTTCCAAGAAGGTACATTGAGAAAGGCAAGTGCTTCATGTTCCACATGAATATCATATAATGCTCTATGAGGATTTGTGCAAAGATTTGGGTAACTCTATGGAATTACAGTGTAGATGGTGAAAAATGTAAACTATATGAAAAACAGTACTTTTCCATGGCCAAGAGAGAACCATTTGAGATGCTCAGTCTTTCAGAGGGTGTCCTTTGTTGCTCCTGCACATTAGGTTCTTTCTATGTGAGAGCTACTTTTCTTCTGTAGCCATAGGAACCAGTTTTACACCAAAAACTATTTCCATCCTCATTCTGCCAGTAGTTTAGTTCTCCATGTTTGAGTTACTAGGAGGATAACATTCATGAGAGTTAGTTCATAGTCACTTATGACATTCCAATTTCCACAGAACGATCCAGAGTAGATATTCCACATTTCTCTTATTTTTCCCATAGGTTATTGGTGTACAGATGGTATTTGGTTACATGAGTAAGTTCTTTAGTGGTGGTTTCTGAGATTTTGGTGCACCCTCACTTAAGCAGTGTACACTATACCCAGTGTATAGTCTTTTAATCCTCACCCCACTCCCACCCTTCTCCCCAAGTCCCCAAAGTCCACTGCATCATTCTTATGACTTTGCATCCTCATAGCTTAGCTCCCATATATCAGTGAGAACATATGATGTTTGGTTTTCAATTCCTGAGTTACTTCACTTAGAATAATAGTCTCCAATCTCATTCAGGTTGCTTCAAATGCCACTAATTCAGTCCTCTCTATGGCTGAGTAGTATTCCGTTGTATACATACACCCCACAGTTTCTTTATCCACTTGTTGATTGATGGGTATTTGGGTTGGTTCCATGATTTTGCAATTGTGAATTGTGCTGCTATAAACATGCATGTGCAAGTATCTTTTTTGTATAATGACTTATTTTCCTCTGGGTAGATATCTAGTAGTGGGATTGCTGACTCAAATGGTAGTTCTACGTTTAGTTCTTTAAAAACCGTTTTCCATAGTAGCTGTACTAGTTTACATTCCCATCAGCAGTGTAAAAATGTTCCCTGACCACTGCATCCATGCCAACATCTGCTTTTTGATTTTTTGATTATGGCCATTCTTGCAGGAGTAAAGTGGTATTGCATTGTGGTTTTGATTTGCATTTCCCTGATCATTAGTGATGTAGAACATTTTTCATAAGTTTGTTGGCCATTTGTATATCTTTTTTTGATAATTGTCGATTCATGTCCTTAGCCCACTTTTTGATGGGACTGTTTGTTTTTTTCTTACTAATTTGTTTGAGTACATTGTAGATTCTGGATACTAGTCCTTTGTCAGATGTATAGATTGTGAAGATTTTTTTCCCACTTTTTCCATGCAAAAGCTTTTTGGTTTAATTAAGTTCAGCTATTTAGCTTGTTTTTATTGCATTTGCTTTTGGGTTCTTGGTCATGAAATCCTTGCCTAAGCCAATGTCTACAAGAGTATTTCCAGTGCTATCTTCTAAAATTTTTATAGTTTCAGGTTTTAGATTTAAGTCCTTAATCCATCTTGAGTTGATTTTTGTATAAGGTGAGAGATGAGGATGCAGTTTTATTCTCCTACATATGGATAGCCAATTTTCCCAGCATCATTTGTTGAAAGGGGTATCCTTTCCCCACTTTGTTTTTGTTTGCCTTGTCAAAGATCAGTTGGCTGTATTTGGGTTTATTTCTGGGTTCTCTCTCTGTCCTATTCATCTATATGCCTATTTTTATACCAGTACCATGCTGTTTTGGTGACTATGGCCTTATAGTTTGAAATCAGGTAGTGTGATGCCTCCAGGTATTTTCTTTTTGCTTAGTCTTGCTTTGGCTATGCAGTGTCTTTTTTGGTTCCATGTGAATTTTATAAATGTTTTTCTAATTCTGTGAAGAATGATAGTGGTATTTTGATGGGGACTGCATTGAAATTGAAGATTGCTTTTGGCAGTATGGTCATTTTCATAGTATTGATTCTACCCATCTACGAGCATGGGATGTGTTTCCATTTACTTGTGTCATCTATAATTTATTTCAGCAGTATTTTGTAGTTTTCCTTGTAGAGGTCTTTCACCTCCTTGGTTAGGTATATTCCTAAGTGTGTGTGTGTGTGTGTGTGTGTGTGTGTGTGTGTGTGTGTGTGTGTGTGTGTGTTTTATGCTATTGTAAAAGGGGTTGATTTTTTATTTGATTCTCTGCTTGTTTGCTGTTGGTGTATAGAAGACCTAATGATTTATGTACATTAATCTTGTATCCGGAAACTTTGCTGAATTCTGTTATCAGTTCTAGGAGCTTTCTGGAGGAGTCTTTAAGGTTTTTGAGGTAAACAATTATATTGCCAGCAAACAGTGACAGTTTGTTCTTTGAAACCAATGAGAACAAAGACAAAATGTACCAGAATCTCTGGGACACAGCAAAAGAAGTGTTTAAAGGAAAATTTATAGCACTAAATGCCCACAGGAGAAAGCAGGAAAGATCTAAAATCGACACTCTAACACCAAAATTAAAAGAACTAGAGAAGAAAGAGCAAACAAATTCAAATGCTAGCAGAAGACAATAAATAACTAAGGTCAGAGCAGAACTAAAGGAGATAGAGACACGAAAAACCCTTCAAAAAAATCAATGAATCCCAGAGCTCTGGTTTTTTTAAAAGATTAACAAAATAGACCATTGGCCAGACTAATGAAGAAGAAAAGAGAGAAGAATCAAATAGACACAATAAAAAATGATAAAGGGGATATACCCACTGATCCCACAGAAATACAAACTACCATCAGAGAATACTATAAACACCTCTACACAAATACAATAGAAAATCTAGAAGAAATGAATAAATTCCTGGACACATACACCCTTCCAAGACTAAATCAGGAAGAAGTCGAATCCCTGAATAGACCAATAACAAGTTCTGAAATTGAGGCAGTAATTAATAGCCTACACCGAAAAAAAGCCCAGGACCAGATGGATTCACAGCCAAATTCTACCAGAGGTACAAAGAGGAGCTGGTACCATTTCTTCTGAAACTATTCCAAACAATAGAAAAAGAGGGACTCCCCCCTAACTCATTTTATGAGGCCAGCATCATCGTGATACCAAAACCTGGCAGAGACACAACAAAAAAAGAAAATTTCAGGCCAATATCCCTAATGAACATTGATGCAAAAATCCTCAATAAATACTGGCAAACTGAATCCAGCAGCACATCATAAAGCTTATCCACCATGATCAAGTCGGCTTCATACCTGGGATGCAAGGCTGGTTGGATATACACAAATCAATAAACATAATCCGTCACATAAACAGAACCAATGACAAAAACCACATGATTATCTCTCAATAGATGCAGAAAAGCCCTTCAATAAAATTCAACACCCCTTCATGCTAAAAACTCTCAATAAACTAGGCACTGATGCAATGTATCTCAAAATAATAAGCACTATTTATGACGAACCCACAGCCAATATCATACTGAATGGGCAAAACCTGGAAGTGTTCCCTTTCAAAACTGCACAAGACAAGGATGTCCTCTCTCACCACTCCTATTCAACACAGTATTGACTTCCTCTTTACCAATTTGGATGCCCTTTTTTTCTTTCTCTTGTCTGATTACTCTGGCTAGGATTTCCAGTACTATGTTGAAGAGGAGTGGTGAGAGTAGGCATCCTTGTCTTGTTCTACTTCTCAGAGGGAATGCTTTCAACTTTTCCCCTTTCAGTATTATGTTGGCTGTGGGTTTATCATAGTTGATTTTTATTACATTGAAGTATGTCCCTTGTATACCGATTTTGCTGAGAGTTTTAAACATAAAGTGACACTAGATTTTGTCGAATGCTTTTTCTGCATCTGTTGAGATGATCATGTGATTTTTGTTTTTAATTCTGTCTATATGGTGTATCACATTTATTGACTTGCATATGTTAAACCATCCCTGCATCCCTGGTATGAAACTCGCTTGATATTGGTGGATTATCTTTTTAATATGTTGTTGGATTCAGTTAGTTAGTATTTTGTTAAGAATTTTAGCGTCTGTGTTCATCAGGGATGTCGGTCCGTAGTTTTCTTTTTTGGTAATGTCCTTTCCTGGTTTTGGTATTAGGGTGATGCTGGCTTCATAGAATGAATTAAGAGGGTTCCCTCTTTATTTTATGGAATAGTGTCAAAAGGATTGGTACCAATTCTTCTTTGAATATCTGGTAGAATTCTGCTGTGAATCCATCTGGTCCTGGACTTCTTTTTTGTTGGTAATTTTATGACCATTTCAATCACACTGCTTGTTATTGGTCTGTTCAGGGTATCTAATTCTTCCTGATTTAAGCTAGGGCAGTTGTATCTTTCCAGGAATTTATCCATCTCTTTTAGGATTTCTAGTTTATGTGCATAAAGATTTTCATAGTAGCCTTGAATGATCTTTTTTATTTCAGTGATATCAGTTGCAGTACCTTCCGTTTCATTTCTTAATGAGGTTATTTGGAATTTCTCTCTTCTTGGTTAATTTTGCTAATGGTGGCTCATGCCTGTAATCCCAGCACTTTGGGAGGCCAAGGCAGGTAGATCATCAGGTCAGGAGATCGAGACTATCCTGGCCAACGTGGTGAAACTCCATCTCTACTGAAAATACAAAAATTAACTGGGCGTGTGTGCTACTCAGGAGTCTGAGGCAGGAGAATCGCTTGAACTGGGGAGGCAGAGACTGCAGTGAGCTGAGATCGCATCACTGCACTCCAGCCTGAGTGACAGAGCGAGACTCTGTCTCAAAAAAAAAAAATGTGTATTCTACGGTTGTTGGATGAAATGTGCTGTGTATATCTATTAAGTCATACACTGTTGGTAGGAATGTAAATTGGTACAACACTCTATATATGGAAACTGAAGCTGTTGGTGCCAATAGAAAACAAGACCTTTGGGAAATCTTGACATTTATGAGATGTGTGGAAGATAAACTCATGTAAGTCATTGAAAACAAATGGTCTTTAGCACATATTTTTGTCATTCACACTATCGTTGAACACTTATTGCATAAATGGCAAGCTCTTAATAGTTTATTTCAATTTTTAAATTATGGTAAAATACACATGACATGAAATTTACCCTCCTAGCCACTTTTAGCTGTACAGTTTAGTGGTATTAAATACATTCATAATGTTTTGCAACCATCACCATCATCCATCTCCATAATTCTTTTTATCTTGTCAAACTGAAACCCTATGCCCATTAAACAAAAAGTTCCTGTTTCACCTCCCCTGAATTCCCTGGCAACCACCATTTTACTTTTTGTTTCTCTGATTTTGCCTATTCTAAGTACCTAATATAAGTAGAGACATATAGCTTGTCTTTTTGTGTTTGGCTTACTTAACTTACCATAATATCCTCAAGTTTCATCCATGTTGTAGCATATTGCAGAATTTCCTTCCTTTTAAAAGCAGAATAATATTCCATTGTGTGTGTGTGTGTCTGTCTATCTATATATCATATTTTGCTTATCCATCATCTGTTAATGGACACTTTGGGGTTGCTTTTACATTTTAGGTATTGTGAATACTGCTATGAACATGGTCAAGACTCTACTTTTAATTCTCTAGGATATATACATAGAAGTGGAATTGCTGTATCATATGGTAATTCTGTTTTTAATTTTTTGAGGGACCACCATATTGTTTTCCATACTGTTTTTCCATGGCTGTACCATTTTACACACAATGATTCCAATTTCTGCACATCCTCGCCAGCACTTGTTATTTTCTATCTTTTTGATAGTAGTTATGCTAACGGGTATGAGGTGATTACCTCATTGTGGTTTTGATTTGCATTTCCTAAATGATTAGTAATGTTGAACACCTTTTCAAGGACTTGTTGGCTATTCATGTATCTTCTTTGAATAAATGCCTATTTAACTCCTTTGCCTATTTGTAAATTGTTTTTATGTTGAGTTTTAGGAATTCTTTATATACTCTGGAGACCAACCCTTCATCGGGTATGATTTGCAAGTATTTTCTCTCATTCTGTGGGTTCTCTTTTTACTCTTTTGATAATAAATTTTGATGCATAAATTTAAAACATTTTGAATGAAGTTTATCTAGTTTTGTTTCTTTTGTTGCCTGTGTCTTTTTTGTTATATCTAAGAAATATTTGCAGAATCCAGTGTTGTGAAGCTTTTGCCCTTTGTTTTTTTCCTAAGAGTTTTATTGTTTTAAGTCTTGCATTTAGGTGTTTAATCCATTTGGGGTTAATTTTTGTGCATGGTGTTTGGTAAGAGTTCAACTTATACTCTTCCGTATTAAAAGAGTATACTTCCAATCTCATATATTTTTGTCATTCTTGTTTTTCAATGGACACGAGAAGCTATCTTCTTGGTAAAGCAAAAATATAAATTTATGAGTTTAGCTCAAATAGCCCATTCTTTCTGCCTTTCCCCAGCTCCTTTTACTTTACATATCTATCCTCAGCTCTCAACCAACCCTCTGTTACTTGGCTTGTAGATCCCACTTATGATTATTATTTATGTCCTTAAAGATGTGCAATCTGCTTGCAATTTTTACTTTCTTATAAGTGGGAATTTTTATAATCTTTACAAATGGAGTCACATTGGGCATAATCTAAATCCCTTCCAAATATTGTGTAGATCTAGCTACTGACTTTATGTTTTATGTTTTTTGGTTGTGGTTGCTAATATTTATAAATAAGCTTGTAAAAATTACTAGTTATTTCTCTTAGCAAAATTACAAGAAGGAATCATTAGCTATATACTGCTAAAATAGATTGTCTTAATAAGAAATATCCAAGAAAGGAGCTAATTAAAGTAATAATCATGTCTTTGGACAAGACAGTTGAGAGAAGATATAGAGGAGGTGGAAATGGTTCAGTGCTAGAAAAAGCTCAAGGCTAGTAACTAGAAAGTGGCACTTACTTTTGCTCCTAAATTTAATCCCATCAGATACTCTCCTGTGCAGAACTGTCCAGTAAACTGTCAGCCACGAACTGCATACCTTCTCTCTCACTGTGTTGTGTTTACCTTTTTTTATGATTAGCAGGTGGAATGTTCAATTAACTGTAGAGCTAATATTACAGAAAACAATTGTCCAAAAAGTAGAGGACTCCCTTGAGTTCTAATAAGAAAGCAAAGATAAATAGCCAGGCTGCACATACATCCCAAGTTCTTTGGAATTGGGTTTATTAACAGAAACTGAAATATACAGAAGCAGTACCAACAGTGTGTACCTCTGTTCTTCTTACACTTTAGGGCAACACAGAGATCTAGCAGCACCAGACATCCACTTCCATTAGAGGGAGCCTGGTTGTGTGGTTAGGAAGTTGCCTGCTTGGGGAAAATCAGATCCTGTGCTGGCTTAATCAAGGGCACAGTAAAGGATCAAGAAGAGGTAGATCTTTGGCCCTGGTCCTGTTTCGCCACCTCAGCACCAGGTTAGGGGAGTACCAGCCATTCCATAGGCCTGGTCAGGGGTGGCAGCTCCTGTGCATTGATGATTCATTGGTCTGATCCACCACCTCAGAATTCTATTGGGATTGATTGTCTTTAGCACTCAGTTCCAGTTATTTCTTTGTTGCTCTACAGTTTTCTCTCTGAGCAGCTAACCTGTAAAATCAGACTATATATATATATACACATATAGCTGTTTTATATATATATATCAGCAAATTTTTGGAGGGGGACAAATTAACTCTTCTCTTTATGACCCCTCTTACAATTTCTGTAAGTACTCAAGCAACTGTACAGCGGGGACTGACAGAAAAGAATTCTTGGGACATCACAGTCCTTTCCATGGGGTACTGAAGGTCATAGTGGGACTGCTTTACAAGACAAGAGAGACTTGATTTTCAAGGAAATTTCAAGCTGGTTTAAAGGATGCTTCTTTTTTTATTTTTTGTATTATAATCATGCTGCTATAAAGACACATGTGCACATATGTTTATTGCGGCACTACTCACAATAGCAAAGGATGCTTCTTTAATAAAGTATTTGCATTTTTCACTTTGTAGCAGTAGCTCTTCAAGAGCCCCAGCTCTTAGCAAACCCATTTGCCAAGCACTTTAAAGTTTACATAGCTAAAATTAATAGGTGCTTACTAAGCTCTAGGCACACAATGGGGGCACTGCCATTATGTTTATTTTACAGATAAGAAATGAAGTCTCTGAAAAATTAGCTTACTCAAGGTAATATTGCTAATAAAGTGGTTGAACTGCAGTTCAAGTCCTAGTAGATATACATGGACCTCAAGCTTGCTAAAACCATAGCTTGTGAAAATACAAAACCTTGCACCTAGAATTATGCTAATTTTCAGGAGTCTTACATTGCAATGGCTTTTTAGCTCCTTCTGAATTCTTATGTTTTCATATGTTGACCCAGATATGAAATTCACATCTCTTTAGTTTTACTCCATATCGTCCATAGAAAGCATTGATTTATTGAGGGCTGCACGGTGGAGTCTGAGGAGAAGTATACAATACTGTGAAACAGATGACTTAATTCTCGACATAGGTGCTACCCATTTGAAAATATCTGCCCTTTGCATTGCCACTGCAAAGAACTTCTACCCATCTCAGCCTTTCTTGCCTTATTGGCTTCTCCTTTCTTCCTTCCTTTTTCTCCTTTCTGTAACTTCCTTTAAGGACCAGGCAAGAAAGCAAGAAAAACAACAAAACGACTTACCTTCTTTTTATATTTTTTAAACCGAGCAACTTTTCCTTCTCTGACGCTTTAGTGTCAGTCAAAGCCAAGGCCCTCAATATCTCACCTTCTATCTCAAGTACTTATAAGCATATTCACCCCCTTCCTTTCTTCCTCAAAAAGCTGTCATACGACGAGATGAATTCAAACATTCTTATGTGCATGATCAGTAGATGGAATACTCAATTAACCATAGAGTTTGAGGACTCATGCCTTACACCAAACTCCTCCTCTGCATGGACAGCGACCTTGTTCTGTCGCATCTAAAAGGCTTTCAGGATGGAAAATTCAGGAAGGAAATGAGGAAGAAGCTGGGAAAGAGAAGAGAAGGGGAAATGTATGTAGAAGGGGTCTGTTTTTTATTCTTCATGTTTTGGGGACTTGCTTTGCATGTGGACTTCTGAAATGCAAATTAAAAGGTTTATTTTTCTTAAAAACACCTGTCTTCTTTCACTGCCTGTTAAACTCCTTCTCTCCACTTGTTTTTCTTTTACCTTAATTCAGATAATGACCTCAAAAACACAAGAGCAAAAATATTTGCGAAAGGAGGGGATTTGGGGATAGGAGAGCAGGAAATCCTTTCCTTTAACCATCCTGTGTGCTACAACTGATAGGAATATAAAATAAAAGTTTTCTTACATCTTTTTTGAGAGTGGAGGAGAATGAGTTGAAATGTCCAGTGGGCCCCTCGCTCGGCCTGGCCATGGCGGCGGTGCTCTACAGACCGTGCCTCCCTAGGGCGTGGGTGTGCAGGAACGCCGGACAGGGCAGCGGCCGGCACTACCGTGCCACGATTTGCGCAGAGCTGAAGTAGTCCCTGACCATCGAAGAGGTGGCCCCCGCCCCGTCGGGCCTCACGAGGACCTGTGGCAGATTCCAGAAAAGGTCTCCCTACAAGAAGCTGCTGTCCTCCCTATAACTTATGGCACTGAGAGTTTTGCTCTTGAGCATCGGGCCCGTACCCAGCCTGGAGAAATTGTTTTAGTGACGGCAGCAGCTGGAGCCACAGGCCTTGCAGTGATGTGGCAACAAATTTCTTCAGGCCAAGGTAATATAGCTGCTGCTGGAAGTGACGAGAAGTGCAAGCTGGCGATGGCAGAAGGGTGCGCAGTCCAGCGTGAACTACAGTCAGGGCAGCCTGAAGGATTCAGTGAGGAAGCTGCCTGGCATGGGAGGGCAGGATTGTGGTGGTGGGATTTGCTGGAGGAAACATTGCTTCTGTACCAGCCAACCTTCTGCTCCTGAAGAATATCTCTGCTATGGGCCTGTACTGTGGTCAATACAAAAAATGAACTTTCCCGTCTTCTCCAAGAGCCTATCTTCAGTGCTTCGGTACTGCCAGCAAGGGCGCATCCAACCATATGTCGGAATGGTTTTCAAGCTGGATGAGGTCAATGATGCCTTCCTTCATGTGATACAGGGGAAATCCGTGGGCAAGGTGCTTCTCGCTCTTAAATAAATCCTCACCTGAGCAGCAAAGTTAACATGTCCAGATCAAAACTCCACATCTTTCCCCAAAACCTGATTTCCCTTCTGTGTTTCCAAAGGTGTTACCACTTTCCTTACCAATCCAGGTTTAAAATCTTGGAGTCACCTTTGATTCTGTTTACTAATTGCCCCTAATTAATATGATTATATAGTTTATTGTCCAAACCTTTTTGAGAGTAAAAGGGTGCCATTAGTAATTACATCAGGAAAACATATCCCAGGCAAACCAGGATATATGGTCAGCCTACTCGATGCATTATGAAATGCAGTGATTGCCAAGTTCTGTCATTCCCACCTCTAAGATATCTCTTACCTCCATATCCTCTTTTCCATTCTGACTAATTAAGCCTCAACTGCTGTCACCAGTGACCTTCTAACTGCTTTTCCTACCTTTAAACTACCCTCACCCCCTCCATTCTTGTGATGCATTATTGCCATGGTGATCTTCCCGAAGCATAGCTCTGACTATGGCCCATCTCAGAAAACCTACAGTGGCTCACCGTTGCCTGATGGTGGAGTTCAGACCCCTTGAGCTAGCATTTCATTATGACCGTGATTTTTCCCCGCATCACTTTCCAGCCTTGTGGTCCACAATTCCACTGGGCCCTAAGTATGTACTGAACTTTCCTGCCTCCCTCATTTTGCTCTGCTTGTGCAATTTTTTCCACCCTCCATCTCTGTCAAACATAAGCCTTCCTGACCTCTAAGACCTACCTTTGTCATGTGCCTTTACCCTCAGGCAAGGGGCAATCTCTTCTATTCCTCTTCTACCTTCCTGTAGCTTCTCCCCCAGGGTTTATCACATTCTGCCTTGAATCCTAGGGAACAACATGTGTAGTGGAATGAACACAGGCCTCTGAATCCAAGATGTGAGTTTAAATCCCAGCTTTGGAGGTGGTTACTTAAGTTCTCAGTGCCTTCATTCTTCTTCCTATATAAAGTAGATATTACAATATCTAACTTACAGAGTCATTGGGAGCTATACATGCAGTGATTGGGTAAAGCACCTGGCACATGGCAAGCAATTAGCAAATGCTGGTTACTTCTACTTCTTTCTCTTCTCTTTTCCCAGTGTATCATAAGTTCCTTGAGAGCAGGCACCATGTCTGATTTACCCTTGTATTTCCCACAGTACTTCCCGTAGTGAGTTACCCTTAGTAAATACTCAGTAAGTTGAATTGAATTTAAATTACCTGTAAGTCTTAAAATGTGGGATTAAATTAAGAGTATGTTGCCCTGGAAATACCCAAATGTCTACCGATGGATGAATGGATAAACAAAATGTGATATACACATAATGGAATATTATTCAGCCTTAAAAAGGAATGAAATTCTGACATGTGCTACAGTATGATGAACCTGGAAGACATTATATGTGAAATAAGCCAGACAGAAAAGGACAAATACTCTATGATTCCACTTATATGAAGTACCTAGAGTAGTGAAATTCATAGAAATAGAAAGTACAGGTTGACATCGCAAATCTGAAATGGGAAATTCTCCAAAATCTGAAACTTTTTGAATGCTGACATGATGCTCAAAGAAAATGCTCGTTGGAGCGTTTCAGATTTTGGATTTTTGGATTTGGGATGCTCAACTGGCATAATGTGAATATTCCAAATTCTGAAAAAATCTGAAGTCTAAAACACTTCTGGTCTCAAGAATTTTGGATAAAGGATACTCAATGTGCAACATGTAGAATGGTGGTTACAAGGTGGTAGGAGAGAATGGAGAGTTACTGTTTAATGGTACAATGTTCCCATTTGGGAAGATGAAAAGTTTTGGAGGTGTGTGATGGTTATGGTTGTGCAACAATGGGAAGGTACTTAATACTGCTTAACTGTGCACACTTAAAAATGGTAAAAATGATAAATTTTGTGTATGTCTTACAACAATAAAAGAAGTTTTTTTTTTCAAAAAGGAAATGTCTAGTGCTCATATGTTGCCAATCTTTCTCTAAAGAAAAATAATTTTTTTAAGTACTAGAAAAAAAGAGTTCAGATTATTCTGTAAATCAAGGGCATTGTTTTGTAGGGCTGTACAGTCCCTTTCTTACTACTCATGAGCTATTGTTGACCATGATCTGAGACTGTTATTGTCTGCAGATAAATTGGGAGTTAATTATAAGTTTATCCATGTTCACTTTTCACATTCAATTTATTTGTCAGTTTAGAAAATGGGCTAATTTTGGTTTGATTTGGGCCCATTTCCTATAGAATGTGTTATTGTGGATATGCTAAAAATCTTTTTGAATGCCCTGTTATCAGCAAACTGTTATTAAGCCTAATTAGGTAATGAAGAATTTATAATTCATCAAATATGTGAAGTAATCATTACCATACATAAAATACAGATAACTGATTATCCCAGAAATATAGTTTTTGAAAACTAAACTTCAACTTCTTTTTCCCCCCTGGAGACAGAGTCTTGCTCTGTCGCCAGTCTGGAGTGCAGTGGCGTGATCTCAGCTCACTGCAACCTCCACTTCTTGGGTTCAAGTGATTCTCCTGCCTCAGCCTCCCAAGTAGCTGGGACTACAGGCACACACCACCACACCCAGCTAATTTTTGTATATTTAGTAGAAATGAGGTTTCACCATGTTGGCAGGATGGTCTCAATCTCCTGACCTCATGATCCGCCTGCCTTGCCTCCCAAAGTGCTGGGATTACAGGTGTGAGCCACCGCACCCAGCCCTTAGTTTCCATAATAAGAAATTGAGTGCTTACTATATAGTATCTACTATAGATTCTTAAGTGATAGTAAAATGTGTCAACATTTCCCTTGCCCACAAGTCACTTACAGTGATGAGGAAAGCACAGAGTTTATCTCACTTGTATGCACACTGTTGCACAAAGATGCTCTTACAGCATTGAGTCTTAAGACTTGAATGGTTTTGAGGGGAGATGATTATGATCTGGGAAGATGAGTAGGGCTTGTTAGCAGAGACAGCAAAATAGGTATAGTAGGTAGAATGGTACAGTATAGAGGTGAGCAATTGAGGAGTATGCTTCAAAAATGGCTAGTAGTCAAGTATGGCTGGAATATAATTATGCTGGGCCGGTAGAGGAAGATAAGGCAGGAAAGGTAAACCAAGGCCTAATTGCAAGGTAATGAGGCTTTGAATACAATATAAATAGCTGGCACTTTATTCAGAAAGCCAGTTTTTCACTGAATGCTGCTATTTGATAGACCTTGAAAATTTTCTCCAAAATATTATGGATAAACAAGTTTGGGAAATGTTGCATAGTTCCTCCTCCCAGGCATTCATAGGACATAGTGGTACATTAAAGGGTAAAAATACCCTACAGTAAAGACCTATTTTATCATGTTTAACATGATGTTTCTCAAATGTACTTAACCACAGAATCTTTGCTTCCAGAACTCTTATCAACATGTCAAGGGAAACCTGTGCTTCATAGAACATAGTTTGGGAAAAACTTCAGTCATTGCTGTAGGCAATGGATTAAAACAAAAACATCTAAGTGGGTCAGTGGCATGATCAGATCTATACTTTAGGAAAGAAAAATATATAAACTTTCTTTGATTCAGATTATTAATATATTTCAAGATGTTATAGCACATCGGAGCCATCATTAAGAACAATAATTTTGTTCTGGATAAATACAGAAGTATGGATCACTAAATATTTCTGATTAATAGTATGAAGGATAATAGAATCCAGTATCCCAATAAATGGGACTTCTCTGGAGGAGCTCACCCGATTCATGAGAAAATTAAATGCCTAGCTATCACTGCCAAGTTTTTTTTTTTTTTTAAGCTAACTGACAATCAGATTCTCTGACATACTCATTAACCATAGACAAAGGCACAGCAGAATTTGCTTAAAGAAATGCAAACAGATCTCATTGTCCTTAAGAGAGAAGATAACACAGAATAAGGAGGACATTCTGGCAGTTTTAAACACGTTTTCCTTTTCTGTACAGGACGATGTCTTTTTCTAGTGAATTGCGCTGAGGTTTCTTTTTTGCGTAAATCTTACTTTAGTGGTATATATTGTTTAGTTCTGGTCAAGATGGGGACATTCCTTAAAATCTCATTTGAAATATATACCAATCTTGTTTTTTTTTTCAAATGATTTCTCTAAAATGTTGGATCAGCATATTATGATGTCTAGTATTCTAATAATTACTACTTTAAAAATAAGGGCACTCCTGTTGAGTAGCCCTCTATTTCAGTAAGTATTAAGAATTGTACATGATACTGGTAAAAAATGATGAACTAAAATTTAAAAATTACATATAGCAAGATCCTGAAATAACATGGTTATAAGGTAATCATGTCCCAATTTCCAGTACTTACATTTTGAGGGATGCACTGTGCCTTTGCACATGTTCTTTTCAGAAGGCTCTTTCCTTTATTCTTTCCATGGCTGGCTTTTTCTCCTTCCTCAAATTTTTAAGAGCAGATAATCCACTTTGCTTGGGTGAGAATATTCACTAGCTGAATCCTCAAGAATAGGTAGGAACATATCAAGGGTCAAAGGCGGGAAGGCGCAAAATGTCCTATGCTTAGAATGTCTTGTGTGTAGACAGGTTTAAGCTGAGGAGGTAGGCAAGCATCAATCAGGGAGGATTTTGCATGTAATTCTACAGTGTTGGGACCAATAGTCTGTGGAAAGTGATTTGAATTTTAGAAAGATTACTCTGATAGCAGTATGGAAGATTGATGATGGGGGAGGGTGGGGTGAGACTGAAAGCAGGGGAAATTGTTAGTGTATTACAATAATGTTATGAACAAGAGATTATAGGAAACTACAGCATAACAATAAAAGTGGAGAAAGTGGGATGGGGTGGCAGACAATATATATATACAAGTAATTTCACTCAGATAAATTTCAGGATGAATATGAGTGTTAGTGGGAGAGAGTGGTAGACCAAAGATATTATTTTCTAGTGTTATTGCTGATGTTATTTGTATTTTTGATATTATTCAAGAATTTAGTGACTGACTAGTCTATGATGCCATCACTCAAAGGAAGAAATGCAGGAGAATGACTGAATTTTAGGGGAAGAATTTTCAACAGAGAGATGTAATAAAACAATTTGAGCTTGAGGTGCTGTGGAAAACTGAGCTAGTTATTCTCAAAACGTAGTCTTCCAATGCCTGGGGTCTCCAAAATCCTTTCAAGGGGTTTGTGAGGCCAAAAGCATATTTATAATAATAAGGCATTATTGTCTTTTAACTGTGTTTATATTTGCACTGACAGTGGAAAAGCCATGGTAAATAAAATAGCTCATGCCATAGCATGGATAAGGCCGTAGTATGAATAAGTATAAATAAGGTGCCAAATGATGTGACTAGTTATTATTGTAGTCTTTACTGCTGTGCACTTGCAGTTTAAAAATGCCCAGTTTCGCTAAGCATGTACTTGATGAAGCAATAAAAATCATGAAGTTCATTACATTTTGACCCTTTAATACATATCTTTTCATATTCCATTCGGTGACATAGGAAGTATGAGCACTGAGTTACTTATTTGTCTGGAGGAGAATCCCTTGTGTTTGAGTTACAAGCTTAATTGGCTACTTTTTTAATAGAGCATCATTTTTACATGAAAACTATTGTTATTCAGAATTGGGCTTTTGGCAGTTATATTCTTGAAAACCAACAAAGTGAGCTGTCACACTGAGAAAAGGAATGTTTTCTGCCGATGGTAAAACTTCAGTTTTCAAGCACAAATTAGAATTTTAAAAAACTTATATTTACCACCATGAGCTTGATGGCTTTTCAATAATTGGAGGCTTTTGTGATGAGATTGGTGGTAATATTAAAAGTATATTAGAATTATTATATAATAAAGGGTGCCAACATTTAGAAGATCTGTATAACAAAGTGAACCTATATTTTTAAATGATCAATCTATAAATTTACAAAATCAGATAAGACAGACCAATGGATTTTCAATTCACTGGTTATTTCATGAGCTCTGTCAAGTCTACTTATGACCTATCAGTGGAATTCTTTATCTCTGATATTGTGTTAAAAATATTCCAACATTTCCATTTGATTTTTTCTTAGAGTTTCCATATTTCTGATAAATTTTATATATTTATGCATGCTTTTTACCTTTTTATTTGATCCTTTAGCATATTGATTGCAGTTATTTTATAGTCCTTGTCTGATAGTTCCAATATCTGGGACATCAGACTTTGGGCTTCTTAATTGTTTTACCTCTTTTTAAAATTGTAGAAAAAGATGCATTATGAAATCTACCTTCTTAACACATTTTTATAGTACGCAGTACAGTGTTGTTAATTAAAAGTACAATGTTGGATGGCAAATCTCTAGAACTTTTTATCTTGCATGACTAAAACATCATACCCATTGAACAGCAACTTCCATTTTCCCTCCCTCAGCCCCTTGCAAACACCGTTCTACTCTGTTTCTATGAATTTAACTTCTTCAGATAACTCATAAGTGGAATTATGCAGTATTTGTCCTTCTGACACTGTCTTATCCCACTTCTCATAATTTTCCCAAGGCTTACCCATGTTGTAACATATAAAGAGATTTTCTTATTTTTATGGCCAAACAAAATTGTATCCATATGCCACATTTTCTTTATCCTTTAACATCATTGGATATTTAGGATGGTTCTACTTCTTGGCTGTTGTGAATAATGCTGCAATAAACATAGGAGTGCACAAGTTCAAGTTCCTGATTTCAATTCTTTTGGATAAATACTCAGAAGTGGCGTTGCTGGATCATGTGGTAAATCTATCTTGAATTTTTTGAGAAACTTCCATACTGTTTTTCATGGTGGCTCTACCATTTTATGTTTGCACCAAGAATGCATAGGGGTTCTAATTTCTTAACATCCTCACCAACTCTTGTTATTTTCCCTTTTTTTTTTATATTGGCCATCCTAACGTGAGGTGATATCTCATTGTGGTGATTCCCTGGAGATTAGCGGTGTTGATCACTTTTTAGTGTACCTGTAGGCCATTTAAATGTCTTTTTCTGAGAAATGTCTATTCCTTTGTCTATTTTAAAAATCGTTACTTTTTTTTGCTGTTAAGTTGTAAAAATTATTTATATAATGTGGATATTAATCCCTTATCAGATATATGGTTTGCAAATATTTTCTCCCAATCCGTAGGTTACCTTTTCACTCTGTTGATTATTTCTTTTGCTACATAAAACCTTTTCAGTTTGGTGTGATTCCACCTGTCAAGTGATTTTGTATGTGCTTTTGGTATATATCTAAGATGTTATTGCCAAGAGCAATGTCATAAAGCATTTTCTGTTTTCTTCTAGGAGTTTTCCAGTTTTGAGTCTTATGTTTAAATCTTTAATCCATTTTGACCTGATTTTTTAATATATGGTGTAAGGTGAGGGTCCAATTTCATTCTTTTGGATATCCAGTTTTTCCAACACCATTTTTTGAAGACACTATCCTTTCCCCACTGTGTATTCTTTCCATCTTTGTTGTAGATGAATTGACTGTACATAGCTGGCTTTGTTTCTGAGCTCTTTATTTTGTTTTATTGGCCTGTGTATCTGACTTTACGAGAGTACCATACCATGCTGTTTTGATTACTATAGTTTTGCAATATGTTTTAAAATCAGTGTGTAATGCCTCTGATTTTGATCTTTTTCTCCAGAATTGTTTTGGCTTATAGGGGTTTTTGTGTTTCAAAATAAATTTTAAGATTGTTTTGCTAGTTCCCAATGCCATTGGGATTTTGATAGGGATTGCATTGAATATGTGGATTACTTTGGAGAGTGCAGACATTTTAACAATATGTCTTCAAATTCATAAGCACTAGATATATTTCCATGTACTTGCACCTTAATTTTTTCTTTTAAAAATTATTTTATTGAAACATAAAATTTTACATATTTATAGAGTACATGTAAGTATTTTTGACATGCATACAGTGTGTAATTATCAACTTAGGGTATTTAGGATCATATGTTCATTGTTTTCTGTCTGTTTTGTAGCTGTTTTGTTTTTTTTCTCTCTTGGTATCCTCCTTTGTATTTCCTTGATTTTTTTCATGTTTTGGTTCCTTTCTTATTTTCTTTGCAAATATTCTGTAAGTCTTTTCTTTGTGTTTATCGTGGGGCTTACATGAAACATACATACTTTGGTTGACAGTTTTTTTCTTTTTTCTTTTTTTTGAGAGGAGTCTCGCTCTGTCACCAGGCTGGAGTGCAGTGGCACGATCTCAGCTCATTACAACCTCCGCCTCTCTGGTTCAAGCGATTCTCCTGCCTCACCCTCCTGAGTAGCTGGGACTACAGGTGTGCATCACCATGCCCAGCTAATTTTTGTATTTTTAGAAGAGACGGGGTTTCACCATGTTGGCCAGGATGGTCTTGATTTCTTGACCTCCTGATCTGCCCATCTCAGCCTCTGAAAGTGCTGGGATTGCCAGCGTGAGCTGACAGTATTTTTCTTTCAGAACTTTGAAATTATCATTTCACTCCTTGCCTGCAAGGTTTCTGCTGAGAAATCTGCTGATGGTCTTATAAAGCTTCCTTTGTTCAAGTCGAGTTGCTTTTATGTTGTTGCTTTCACAATTCTTTTTCTCATTAACTTTTGACAAGTTGATTATAATATGTCTCAGTGTGGACTTCTTTAGGTTCATCTTATTTGGGATTCATTGGGCTTCTTGAACATGGATGTCCATTTCTTCCCCAGAGTTGGGGAATTTGGGGCCATTATTTATTTAAATAAGCTTTTTGCCCTTTTTTCTTCTGACAGTCTCATAATGCATATAGTTATCTGTTTGGCTCTCCCATAAGTCTCTTAGCTTTTCTTTACAAATTTAAATTATTTTTTTCTTTTTACTCTTCTGACTGGATAATTTCAAGTGACGTATCTTCGAATTTGCTGAGTCTTCTGCTTGGTCAAGTCTACTGTTGAACTCACTCCTTTAGCAAATTTGGTCAAGTCTACTGTTGAACTAACTCCTTTAGCAAATTTTCAGTTTACTTATTGCATTCTTAAGCTCTAAAATTTCTGTTTTGTTCTTTTTTCATTTTCTATCTCTTTGTTGAAATTCTCATTTAACTCATGCATTTTTTTTCTGAGCTCATTGAACATCTTTATAATGGTAGTTCTTATACCTATGTTTCTTTAGGGTCAGTTTCTGGAGATTTATTTTCTTCCTTTGATTGGGACATTTTCCCTGTGTGTTTTTTCCCCTATAACTTTGTATTGGATCTATGCATTTGAAAACAAAAGCCACCTCTCCCAGTCTTTATGGACTGGTTTCATATAGGAAAAGAACTTTACCAATTACCCTGGCAAGAGATTCTGAGGCCCCTCAAACCTTTTGTACGTAGATGTCCTCCCTGGACTTGTGTGGAGATTCCTAATTGGAAAACTTTTCCAGTTTTTTTTGTTTGTTTGTTTTTTAGCTCAGAATCACTTTTTTCCTTTGGCATCTGTCTGTTTACCATGATTCCTCTGAGGTAGCAGTGTGCTGCCTAGTTCTTTTCTGCTTTCAATGACACTGGGTATCTAGAGAATGTCAGGTCCTATCCTTGTCTGAAGACAGGTGTGATAGAAACCAGTTCCTCAGTCAGCCCTCTGAAAAGCTGCAATGTTGGATGCATGTTCTACCTTACTCTTTCTCCTCAAGAGAGAGACCACTGACACGTATTGGCCTCCTCCTTTGGAGGAACAGCAAAACACCCATCTCTCTTTTGTTCTCAGAGGCCTCCCGCATTTGGAACAGGGTTCCCCAACCTTTTTGGCACCAGAGACCAGTTATATAGAAGACAATTTTTTCCACAGATTGAAGAGGGGATGGTGGACCCTGCCACCTAGACACCTCACATGTGCAGTTCACAATAGGGTTCATGCTCCTATGAGAATCTAATGCTACCACTGATCTGACAGGAGATGGAGCTCAGGCAGTAACACTCGGTCGCCCACTGCTCACCTGCTGCTGGTCAACTTGATTCCTAACAGGCCACGGACCAGTAGCAGTCCATGGTCGGTCCATGGCCTGGGAGTTTAGAGTATTCTGGGTCCTCTTATTGCTCCATGACAGGTGAGACAGAAGTCAGTCTCTTGGGCAGTCCTCCAGAGAAGTCAGAATGTTGTATTCACAGTCCAGCTTTCTCTTTCTGTCTCCAGGGAGAGGATTAGAAATGAGAATTTCCTCCCAATAATGTGGTGCTGTGCGGCGGGGAGGGACTATTTTGAGAGGATGTCACACATTTTCCTGCCAGTTTTGATGTGGCTATTAAATAGTTTCATACACCTGCAATGCAGGAGGCTTTTAACTTGCTTCTGGATTCCTCATAAAGGAATTGGTCTGTGCATTGTTGTTGAACCAGTGTCTTCATGGGAAAAAGAAGGGCCTGGGGCTTTCTATTCACCACCTTGCTGATGTAACTTCATGTCTCTTAAGTTTTTTTCCCCTTGTGTTTTGGTGTCTTATATTATTTTTTATTAAATGTTTGGCATTATGTATAGAACAGTAGAGACTGAGATAAATAGTATAGATGGAGATAAATAAATGACATGTGCCTGGAAATGTGCATGTCATTTTGGCACAGGACTCTCAATACAAGGGCTAAGTCAATTTATTTAGGAGTCAAGCTGGATTTAGTGTTTGTCATTACCATTGTTATCTTCATAGCACCATAGGCTTTGAATTTCTCTAGTACCAGGTTGCTTTTCTTTTCAGCTTAGTGTGCAAGCTAGGGTACTAATGTTTTTTTCTCAGTGTTTGTGCTTCACCTTCAGCTTTTAGATATCCCTGCATATCTGTACAGAGGAGGTTTCTCTCCATGCTCTTACTGGTTACATAATGCTAGGCTTCTGGTGGTTATGATGAAGTTTGTTTTCCTAGTTCAGCTTCAGTCTTATACAGGGCTTGCATACCTGGATCTTAGAGGTAGAGCTTTCTCAGCATTTGTGCCCCTCCTGTCTGTGACAGCTAGCCACAATCTTGGATCTGTGGTTCATGTTGGCTAGGAGATACCTCCTTGGACTCCAGCAGTGGCAGACCTCCACCTGGTATGCATATAGATTCCTGGAACCAGGAAGATTTTCTGTCCTTCACCAGCAGAAAGAGCTTTTCCTTTTACCTTTGACCCAGATGCAATGAGTTGTTAACTGTGCTCTGGAACTTACAGTGATTGCTGCCTCATCTCCAGCTTAAGGCTTTTATTTCTTAGAAAAGAAGGGTCCAAGGACACAAGAAGGAATTAACATTTTCTCCTAGCAACGTCTGACCATACCCTACAGTCTTGCATCATTGAGGTTGGTTCTTTTTCATCCCCTGCCTTGCCCCATGTTTTCTTCTAAGCACCCAGAGGAAGTCCAAGGAAGAAGGCTTACAAGTGAGGGCAAAGTTCCCAGTATTTCATACTGACATGCTAACCCACACTTGACTTTTAATAATTAAACAGTTGATTTCTTCTAATCCATGTGTTTAGTGGCCACCTCTTCTTCTCATCCGGTGCCCCAGATAAGACACTTTGTGTATTCTGTCTCAGAGGGACTAGTCTTTATTTGGAATTCAGCTTACTTGGCTGTCTTTTGAGCTTAGCTATCTAATAGGATCAAAAAAGTTACCATTTGTGGTTTATCTGACCTTTTCTCATGATTAAGTTGGGAGTAACTTTCTCTCAAGTCTTCTACATTCTGAGGTGAATGAATTTTAATGTAACAGATTGTGAAATGTTATTGATATGATTTCAGATTTCACATTGCAGTTTACCTTTACAAACTTACCCTTTTTTAATTTTGATATAGTATTGAAGAATATTAAAATTATATGAAATGGCTGTTCAAATACTTCTCCCTTTTCCAGCCACTTATCTGTGTGAGGTTGAATTTCTAAATGTACTTCAATCAAAACAGCATATTACAACAAATTGAATTAAGAAGATATGGTAATCCATTTGTCTTCTATTAAGAAAATTTGCAAAAAAGTAAAGCAATACCATTCTTCTCACTGTTTTTATTTTGGAAAATACAGTTTTAAAAAATAAAAACATGTTATTTATGCTAGTATACAGTAGATTCATTATTATTTTTGAATGATTTAATGTCTTATGAAATATAATAAAATAAATTAATATTTTAAGATAGTATTTTTAAAAAATTCCTCATTTTAATTCTCTAGTATGAGAAATATGTACAGATACAACTCACATAAACAACAGCTCTTTGGGATTCTCAGTAATTCTTAAGAGTATAAATAATTCCTGGGATGAAAATATTTAAGAACTACTGAGATAGATATGAGGTGAAGATATTGCTTAGAAGTCAGTAACACATGGTTTGTAGAGAAGACTGTGGGTATGGATAATATCCAGAGAAAGGTTATAGAATGGTAACAAAACAGAACCAAAAATAGACCCTTGAAAACTCCAATACTATGGCAGAGTGGAGAAAGAGAAATAAGCAAGGAATACCAGGAAGAATAATCATAAGCATACAGTGTCATAGTGGTCAAAGGAGTAAAGTGGGAGAAGAAAGGGATGGAGTAATTGTGTCTGTAAATGCCTTAGTGAGGGAAATATCCTTTGAATCCCCACTGTGACATATTTACAGGAAGGTGATGTAATAGGTAATAACTCCTTCCAATATCCTTTAAGCTATTGAATTCCTTCCCTTACACTATACAATGAAGTTCTCACGTCTTAGTTTCATCATTTAATGTAGACCAGTGTTGAGTCTATGTTTAGATGAACTAAGTGAACTAAGAGAAAACACTTTTTAGCCACTTGAATTAACACATTGAATCCAGATTTTTTATTCAGAGTACCCAGATCAATACATCTGTGTTCCCCAAACTCTGACATTTTAATGCACTAGATCCCAGGCAGTAAGACTTCATATTTTAAACATGTATGCCATGAGCTATTTTTTTTTTTTTTTTTACTGGCAATGAGATTATTTCTGTCCTTTAATCTAATTAGTTTACAGAATCAATTCCAGATCCTATCTTTTGAGGCTTTGTTTTCCTGATATTAAATGCAAAAGCTACTCTCTATAGCCCACGTTTGAAAGGTTTTAGTATATGTTAGTTCTAGGATAAGGAATTTGAGGCTGATACAGCTGTTGGAACAGCTGGAGGAGCAAAGTCAGGGAAGCTGCCACTGACAATCTTAGCATGAAGCATGGAAATGAGTACTTCTCAAGATCTTACCAGTGACCTGCTCACAGCATCTGACTGAACCTGCCCCTGGAGAAGAATGGCCTGTCCTTTCTTAAGTCTCAGTGAATGACAGGTCTAATGGGGAACATGAAGGGAAGGGTGTTCTGGGAAATGTGGTTTCTAGCTTTCCCTCTGAAATGCAGATAAAATTTTAGAAGAGAGTGGTAGTAATGCTGAGTTGGCCATAAATAATTCAGCACAGGGCCTGAAATGTTGAGTCACAATGGGAGACCTAATAAGGTTGGGAGCCTGAGAAGATGCACTGGGGTCAATAGTTAAAGATTGAAAGCAAGCAAAAATACTTGGGGAATATTAGAGCCTGAAGGCATGGCTACACATTCAGGTTCAAGCCGAGCAGAAGGTAAAACAAGTAATTATTGGCCAGGAAGGCCCTCCATGATATATTCCAGAGCTATCTTTCCATTCTTAGCTTCCTGATCTACCCCAAACACTCTGTGTTCAGATCTTTTGTTCCTCCTAATGTGAAGCTTGTGTTTCCTTCTGCCTGGGATGCTTTCCTTCCTCTTGTCACATGGTAACCTCCATCTTACTGTTCTTAGATCTTAGCTCAGAAGACTTCTCCTCAGAGAAATATTCCTATACTACTGTATCTGATCTACTGTACCTATACTACTGTAACCAATCACAGTGACTTATTTATTTCCTCCAGAGTTTTTAACATGATGTACAATTGCCTTCTTTGCACTATTTGTTTAAATAAGTTTCTAATTAAACATAAAACAAACAAAAAGCCCTTAAGAAAGAAATTCATTAGTGTCACTACTTTGTTAGCAGGCCATTAGGAAAGCTATTTGAGTCCTGTGGCTTTCCACTATCCAGCAAATCATGACATTTGGTAGCTGTTATTCTCCTTATTAAACACAGATATCCATATAGATAAGCATAATCTTCCCTTTATCCATACTTTTCCTTTCCTTCATTCATCCCTTATTGTGTTCTTAGTATTGAACTTCAGTTAATTGCTGTAATGTCTGCTACACTCAGGCATTATGGCAATGACCATATGGTCAAAATTCTTAAATTGCTAATTTGATTGTTTGCTCATCTCACAAATATTTACATATATCTACTAGCTCTCTAAATTTTCCAGCACCCAGGTACCAATGGTATTGGATTTGCATGGCAAAAAGATAATAGCTGCCATCTTCCTTTTATACCCCTGCCTATTAGACAACATTGGCAAGATTATAGCTATGATATAATACTTCATTTTGTTTACATCCCATTTTATGAAAACAGGCACAAATAAAAACAAAGGAAACTCTTAACCTTTAAGAAATCATTGCCTATTTGTCATTATATATTATACTGCTTAGGTTGGTGGGAATTTTGTTCACAATATCATTAATGATAAAGACAGAACTTTCATCTATGTTACAGTCCAAGAGTATAATGAGCTTTTATTATATGTATTTACTTTTAGAGACATGATTCAGTACATGATAAAGCTGATTCATGGAAGACAAATTCTTCTTTTATAGAGACTAGGTTCCTTTTTTTTTCCTTATTAGGTGGCACTCTATAGATTATTTACAGAATCGTGGTGTGTGTGTGTGTGTGTGTGTGTGTGCATGCACGTGCACAGTATGATTTGATAATCTCAGTCTTGTTAGCTACTAATTCTCCTTTATTTTATTTTGCTTACCATCTCAATTTCTTCATCTAATCAGTCACCAAGCTCTACACATTCTACTTTGCTAAGTCTCCCAGACAAATCTTTCACATTTGCTCCTCTAAAGTATTAAGTCACACCTTCCCTAATGATGTATTTCTTGGATGATTGCAACAGGTTTCAAACTTTCTTCCTTAATTTGTTTCTTTTCTTGGATTTGTGTCTGAACTCACTCCTTACCAGGTGGGTAACTTGGGGTGAGTTACACAGTCTCTCTGAGGTTGAGTTTGCACTTTGCAAAATGGGCACAATCATACCAGTTATTTATATTTGTTGTGAGGATTAAGTGAGTTAATGTATGTAAATGCTTAGCATACATTAACAGCATGGGGGAACAACCCCCATGATCCAATCACCTCCCACCAGGTCCCTCCCTTAACACATGGAGTTTACAATTTGAAATGAGATTTGGGTGGGGACACAGAGCCAAACCATATCAATGGTGTTTTATTTTAAAATATTAACCAATACCTAAGTATCACTAGATATTTAAGAAATACAAGCCACACAAAAGGAAATGACCATGACAAAGAAAAATAGAAAGCTGAAACCAGGAAGAAGCACAAGTAACACAGGCAGCTGAGTTCTCAATAAGTAGAAGAGGAAGAAAATGTTCCCCATAAAATGATCACTTCATCTCCTTCCACTTTCTTAAAGATAGTCTCTGCTGGAGTCAATAAAACTCCTCATTGCCCCTCAAATGTGCTCTATGTTTACCTGTTACCGTTTTCCCTTCTGCTTGTGAAATCCAACTCAGGCTTTAAGGTCCAGCTCAAATGCCCCCTAAACTTACAACATTCACTGATCCTAATAAATGGAAGTAAATTTTCCCTTCCTGCACACTCCCAGAGGCATTCCTTGTCTTTGCCCTAGCCTATCCTTATCTTTGCTATTTCAAATGTCCCCTAAGTCATCTGCATGCTCTCTTCTCCCAGCAAATTAGATGGTAACAGAGGGGTGCCTTTAGAGCCTTCATCTTGAGATCCAGCAGATTGAAAAAATAAATACCCTCTTTTAAGAGTGAAGTGGCTATACACTTCTAAGACATCATTCTTGCCTCACCTACCATAACAAACGTAGCAGCCAGTCAGCCTGTTGTCTAAATATTTCTCTTTCCATGTTCAGTTTCACACAATACTTCACTTTTGTATCAAGTATTCTTTCAGCAACTACTTAGGTTGCTTTCCATTCTCAATCCTTAAGCGATGCTGTATTTCTTCTTTGTTCCTGTTACTCCTATTTTGACTGAACTATGGGGTTGGTAATTAATTACATATAGTAATGGCTCCTACTATTGCACTTTTTTGACTTTATAACAGAATTTCCATCTGAGAAAATAATGTGCTTAATGCTGAGCATATAGGTGAATCTTTAATACTGTTAGTGCCTTTTTCTTGCCTTTGAGCTATGTAATTTTGTCCCAAGAGCTTACCTTTCCTCTGCTTTCATGGATTCCTCTTTATTAGGACTAGCCTTTTTCTGTCTCTAGGTCTCATTCACTCCCATTATTCCCACCCACCCAGGAAATCTACACCGAAATTTGATATTAACAAATCTTGATACATAGCCCTTTTCATGTATCTGATATTCACCACATGCAGTCCCTATTTATGGGTAGGAATGACTTTTATAACTTCTATTTATTATAAACTTTCTGAGGATACGAACAGTATATTAATCACCTTCACACCCTCCATGCCTTCCCTAGTGCTTTGCAAATAATAGGTGTTAAATAAATGTCTAAAGAATCAGTAGAATTGATTAGGATTATGGCTTGGATTTGAAGATGTTCACTTTGTACAATATGGAATTGTATAATTTGTTGCTATTCTTTCCTTTGCTTTTTTCCCAGTTAAACACTTGGTTTTGAGCCAGAGTTTTTCAATGTAGATACACAGACTTTCAGAGCTGAGAGGGATTTCTCTGTGCCTCATCTTTCAAGCACCGGACAGAAAAAAATCTATGCCTGGAATGGTCAATTCATTTCTACACTTTACATGCTCAGACTGAGGCAGGTGGTGACAAGCTGCCCTGGAAAGTTCACTGGGGACTATAAGACATTACATAAAGAAAATGTCAAGTGACTTACAAAGTCCTCTTCAAAGGAATCCCCCTGCAGACCCACGCCGAATACAGATATTGCTTTTCCTTGCTACTCCTCTAGTCAAGCTGTATGTGCTCATTTTAGTAACACTGAGTACTTCTCTGAAGGGGCTGACATTGTCAATTTATCAGTCTTCAGAATAAAAATGCTTGAAACTTATGCTGATTTTACATAGTTTTACATCTCAACTGTGCTATCTGTACCAACAGTAATGAAAACTAGTAAAGTGACTTACTGTTTTCATGCCAGCAAGGAAGAAATTTTTTGATACTGCTTTCAGCTTAAAACAAAATGATGGACTAGTGTGCACAAGTTTTTCTCTTAATTCGGTTTTGTATTTTTTTCTTTCTAAAGATCTTTTACTTTCTATTTGTGTGTATGTGTGTGTGTGTTGATATGTGAAATCTTTACCTTTCTAAAGATTTTTGAGGATTTAGGGTTTCTAAGTATTTTGAATAGTTACATAACATACAAGTTAAGAATTGCATTCTTGGCCAGATGCGGTGGCTCATACCTGTAATCCCAGCACTTTAGGAGGCCGAGGCAGGTGGATCACCTGAGATCAGGAGTTTGAGACTACCCTGGCCAATATGGTGAAACCCCGTCTCTACTAAAAATACAAAAAATTAGCCAGGCATGGTCGGGGGTGCCTGTATTCCTAGCTACTTGGGAGACTGAGGCAGGAGAATTGCTTGAACCCATTGGGCGGAGGTTGCAGTGAGCCGTGATCATGCCATTGCACTCCAGCCTGGGTGAGAAAGCGAGATACCAATCTCAAAAAAAAAAATTGCATTCTTGACAGATAAATTAATGGGAAACTAGGTCATGTTTCTTTGAATTTATAATTGAAGTCCTCTGTGTACTTGTATGTGCTTGTACCAGTTTAAATTTGTGGGCCCTGTGTATATACCCAAGGAAAGGGGAACCTTTAAAAGAGAAAGAATAGGCATATTTGGAATTATAACAATGTAAATATTTAAGTGAATAGAAGGTTTTTAAACCAAAGTATTATATTATATCATATATTTTAGCTTAGCATAGTATGAGGTTGAGAGGAAAAGACAGAGGTAGTATATAAAAAAAGACTGCTTTCCAAAGAGATTGAGTGATCTGCCTGGGCACAGCCACAGCTCTAAGTGTTGAAATTGCTGTCACCAGAATAAAATATTTTCTATTTTCACATTTTGGGGGAATCCTAGTCAGTATGTCTGCTCCCAAATCTTAGACCCTAATATGAATTCTCTAGTTGACATGTCAGCTTACAAATCAGTGAGTGCAGTTAACTTTCATTAGGTGAGAGTGATGTTTGGAAAAATAAATTTGCAGGAAAGCAGAAGAAACCTATGTTATCTACATATATTAATCAATATGGTTGTATTAGTCTGTTTTCACACTACTATAAAAACTACCTGAGACTGGGTAATTTATAAAGAAAAGGTTTAGGCAGACTACGGTGGCTTACACCTGTAATCCCAGCACTTTGGGAGGGGAGGAGGGTGGATCACAAGGTCAGACTGTTTTTGCTGTGTCATTAAGTATTATGCGTCATATTTAGCATAGCACTATGACAGATTTGAATAAAAATGTCAGTGTAAAACTATCTGGAAAAGCATGAGACCAGCAGTTCGAGACCAGCCTGGCCAATATGGTGAAACCCTGTCTCTACTAAAAAAACAAAAATTATCCAGGCATGGCGGTGGGCGCCTGTAGTCCCAGCTACTCAAGAGGCTGAGGTGGGAGAATTGCTTGAACCCAGGAGATGGAGGTTGCAGTGAGCTGAGATCACGCCACTGCACTCCAGCCTGGGAGACAGAGCAAGACTCCGTCTCCCCCAACACCCAACCCCCCACAAAAAAAAGTTTAATTGACTCACAGTTCTGTATGGCTGAGGAGGCCTCAAGAAGCTTACAATCATGGTGGAAGATGAAGGGAAAGCAAGGCATGTCTTGCATGGCAGCAGGAGAGAGAGAGCAAGCAAGGGGGAAATGCCACACTTTAAAACCATCGGCTCTCAATGAGAACTCACTATCATGAGAACAGCATGGGGAAAACCACCCCCATGATCCAATCACCTCCCACCAGGTCCTTCCCTCAACACATGGAGATTACAATTTGAGATGACATTTGTGTGGGGACAGAGCCAAAACAAATCAATGGTGTTTTATTTTAAAATATTAACCAATACCTAAGTATCACTAGATATTTAAGAAATATAACACAAAAGGAAACGACCAAGGTAAAGAAAAGTAGAAAGCTGAAATCAGGAAGAATCACAAATAACACAGGGAGCTGAAAACCAACCAACCAAAGAAAAAGGTACTTCTTGAATTATAATTTATATCTTTAGAGATATTTGTGATGACAACATACCCATAAAGCCAAAACAATTTTATAAAAAAGGATTACAGACTAACAAAAAATATGACTGTGAAAAAATCCACAGAAAATTTGGAAAATAAAATCAATGAATTTCTCAGGAGATAAAGAAAAGATAGAAAATATAATGACAGGTTCCAGAGGCAATAAGTATTAATCTGGGAAGTTTAACATGCATCTAAAAAGAGGAAAGAGTGGAAGAGAAGAAATAAGAAATAGAAGAATATTTGTTAAATTTGAGGAAAGACATCTTTTCAGATTGAAAGTGTCTACTGAGGTCAATAAGATTGAATATATTTTAAAAACATATATATTTCTATGACATTTCTCAACAAGAAGAATAAAAATTAAAACTTCTAGGCATAAAAGCAAGTATGTACAAAAAATAATAACCAGATTAACATCAGATCCGTTTTATCAATGATATAATATACTGAAAGTTCTGATGGAATGATTTTGCATCTAAAATTCAATACAGAGCCAAACAAAGATAAGGGGATAATAAAAATGTTCCATGACATACAAAAATTCAGAAATTCTTTCTACTTTTCACTTATCCTCAGGTGCAGGCAGAAAGAAATTCAGTATTATTCTAGGAGCAAGAAAAAAAAATGAATTCTAAGAAAAAGGAAGAGTATGTAGTACCAGGAAACAAAGGAACTACTCAAGAGTATAATAAAAAGAAATCTCAGGATGACAGATGTACAGGCAATTTTAGAGTACAATTAGTCCAATTTAGAACAGGAAATCAGAAGCTTCCTTTAAGAATACCTTTCAAGGCTGTGCATGGTGGCTCATGTCTGTAATCCCAGTACTCTATGAGGCCAAGGAGGGCAGATTGGTTGAGTCCAGGAGTTCGAGACCAGCCCAGGCAACATAGCAAAACTCCATCTCTACTAAAAATACAGAAAATTAGCTGGGCATGGTGGCACACACCTGTATTCCCATCTCAGGAGGCTGAAGTGGGGGGATGGCTTAAGTCTGGGAACTAGAGGCTGCAGTGAGCCGAGATGGCACCACTGCACTCCAGCCTGGGCTACCAGAATGAGATCGTGTCTCAAAAAAAAAAAAAAAAAAAAAAACCTTTCAGAAACTAGGATATAATATGCCCAATAGATAATGTGATTAAAAAACTGGGAGTTCTTAATAATATAGTGACTATTTCTTACAACAAGTGAAGAGTAAATAGAAATTTAACTTAAAGAAACAAATATATAAGAAAGTCATGGTCAAAATATGTAACAAATAAAAATTGTAGATGATTTGGGCACTTGGAGAAGTAAAAAGAAAAAGAATCCATTTGATCTTGATGTGTATAATATCCTAATAGCAGTAGGGGCTTAGTGAATGTTATCTTTTCTATAGGTCTATCCAATTAATTAGTTTTATAATTAAGAGTAATTATATGATTATAATGATGAAAATGCTGTTTCTTGGTTTCAAATTTTACAAGTGAAGCACTGAAATTTTAATTATACTTCCAGAATGAGATTAAATGTTGTAAACCTTGACCATGTAATTGATGATATAGCTGATGTGTCAGGAGGTGCAGAGAAAGGATTATTGTAGCAGTGCATAGTAGGATGTTAAGAAAAAGTAGCTAAAGTTGAAAGAGCAAGAAAAAAATTGAAGTATGTAACTCTATAGGGTTAATTACTGGAATAACTAAAAATTAAAAATGTAATCAATATACCTAAGTAGTGGGAGGAAAGGGAGGAACATGGGAGCTATATATGGGAACTGATTCTTCCTTGGTAGTGTCAATTGTTATCATTACTGGTACATAAAAAAAGTAAATGGATAAAGTCAATAAACTAAGAGTGATGGTTAATTTTTTGTGTTGACTAGGCCATGAGATGTCCAAATACTTGGTCAAACATTATTCTGGGTGTTTCTGTGAGGGTGTCGCTGGATGACATTAACATGTATATCTGTAGGCTGAGGAAAGCAGGTTGCTCTCCCTAATGTATCTAGGCATTATCCAATCAGTTAAAAGCCTAAATAGAACAAAAAGCTTGACCCTCCTCTGAGTAAAAGAGAATTCCTTCTGCCTCATTGCTTTTGACTGGGACATTATCTTTTTTCTGCTTTGGACTCACACTGAAACACTGGCTAGTACTGGGTCTTGAGGCTATTGGCCTTAGACTGGAGCTATGCCGTCAGCGCTTGTGAGCCCCCAGCTTACCAACCCTGCACATCTTGGGACTTGTCAGCCGTCATAATTGCATCAGCCAGTTCCTTACAATAAATATATTTATGTATACAGCCGATTGGCTCTCTTTCTCTGGGAAACCCTGCTTAATACAGCAAGGAATTTAGTTATAAACATATCCTTTAGAATTATGGTGATATCAGCAGAAGATGTAAAAACCAAGGTAACTTCTAAAGAATGAGACTCAGAAAAAAGGATTTGGGTGAAAAGACTAGATTTTTTTGCTATTATAATATATTTTGTTATATACATGTATTAGATTATAAAAATAATAAAATACAAACCTAAAGAAATATATCTTTTAAATTATGAATTATATTTTATTCCTAGGTTTCTTGAAATATTTTCTTTCAAAGTCTTAATAACTATATCACATATATTGTGAAAGTGAGAAAAACTTACAATTCAAAGTAGTCAACTTGAATTTATAAGGCATGTCATAATTAGATCTTCTAACAAGCCTGGACAAGTAAGCATCTTTAAAGGTGTTAATTGCTCATTTCTCACAAGCAAATTGACTATTCTGCAGTTGGAGACTGAGTTTGATTAAGTTACCTCTGTTATTACATTACGTTGTATGAAAGTGCTATAAAGCAATGACTATATAGGGCTGGAAGGTGGCAAGATAGTTGAACCTAAGGCAATACGCTTTCAGACTGTTTTCGCTGTGTCATTAAGTGCTATGCATCATATTTAGCATGGTACTATGACAGATTTGAATAGAAAGGTCAGTGTTAAACTATCTGGAAAAATATGAGTTAGCAATATGTGAGTAAGCATCAGGCTAGGTGCATCAGTGGAAACTGAAAACTGATAACAATGAGCAGTGGACTGTTGACATACATATTTCTGATGTGATACATCTGTAATCAAGTCCAGAATGATTGTTTGACCTCCCAGAGATCATGGAAAAGCTGGGAGAACTAAATACCTTGTGAATCTAGAAGTCTTAGAGCAATGGATTGCTGTTACTACCTGCATCAAGCCATAATATCTAGTGGACAGACACAGTTATACAAATTGCAAATAATGTCAGGACTTCTCACTCACTTTAGGCACTCATAAACCACACAATGGATTTCAGTATAAACAAACAAATGAACAAAACCCCAAGGGAATCTCAGTGCCATTCCAGCCTTAGGAAATTGAATTTATAAGTCACATATATGATTAGATTCTCTAACAAGCCTGAGCAAGAAAATTCCTCTGAAACAGTTAACTGTTAATTCTTCCAAAGTAAATTGACTATTCTGCAGTTGGAGACTGATTTTGAATAAATTACTTCTCCTATTAAATCACATTGAATGCAAATGCTATAAAGTGATGTTTATATGGGACTGGGAAAGGTGTGAAAATTGCTGGAACAGTGAGAGAATACCTGTTAGAAATGTTCCACGTAGACCCCAGTACTTGCTGCTTAGGAACATGCCAAGTTACATATGAAAGATACTTTGTATGACCTTAGCTTGTATGCCAGACTCTGCCTGCCCTAAGCTGGCATCATCTCATCTTTCATCTCTCATGCATATAATCCGTTTAGGACAAAGCAGACACCATCCAGTTTTCTTGCCTCCAGCCACCATTCTATCAGCCATAATCCCAGAGAGTCAAGGGTTAGCAAACCCCAGGGGTGTTCAAAAACATTTTCTAGACATTATTGAATCCCTTATAGCAAAAGGCTATGAGATTTAGGGTAAAAAGATTATTACATGATAAACAGTTTAACTCAACAAGAAGATTTAACTATCATAAATATATGTGCACCTAACATTGTAGTACTCAGATTCATAAAACAAATACTTCTAGGCCTACAAACAAACTTAGACAGCCAGACTAGACAATAATAGTGGGAGTCTTCAACACCCCATTTACAGTGTGAGACAGATTATTGAGACAGAAAACTGACAATTCTGAACTTAAATTCAAAATATTGGAACTAATAGACATCTACAGAATACTCCATCAACCATAGAATATACATTCTTATCTGCATATGGAACATACTCTAAGATCAACCACATGCTTGGCCACAAAGTAATCTCAATAAATTTAAAAATTGAAATCATACCAATCATATTCTTGGACCACAGTAGAACAAAAATAGAAATCAATGCCAAGAAGATCTCTCAAATCAATACAAGTACATGGAAATTAACTTACTCCTGAATGACTTTTGGGTAAACAATGAAATTAAGGCAGAAATAAAAAATCTTTGAAATAAATGAAAAAGAGACACAACATATCAAAATCTCTATGATGCAGGAAAAGGAGTGTTAGAAGGAAAGTTTATATTGCTAAATGCCTATCTCAAAAAGTTAGAAAGATCTCAAATTAATGTTCTAACACCACACCTACAGGCACTAAAAAAATAAGAACAAACAAATCCCAAAGCTAGCAGAAGAAAATAAATAACAAAAATCACAGCAGGGCTGAAAGAAATTGAGACCTGAAAATCCATACAAAGAATTAATGAAACCAAATTTTGTTCTTGGAAAGGATGGACAAGATTGATGGACCACTAGCTAGATTAACAACAACAAAAAAAAGATCCAAATAAACACAACCAGAAACAAGAAAAATTACATTACAACTGATCCTACAGAAATAAAATAGATCTTCAGAGACTATAATGAACACCACTGTGCACATAAACTAGAAAATCTAGAGAAAATAAATTCCTAGAAACACACAACCTTTCAAGATCGAATCAGGAAGAAATTGAGACCCTGAACTGACTAATATTGAGTTCCTAAATTGAATCAGTCATGAAAAACCTACCAACCAAAAAAAGTCCTGGATCAGATGCATTAAAGCCAAATTCTACCAGACATACAAAGAAGAGCTAGTACTAATTCTACTGAAACTATGCCAAAAATTGAGGAGGAAGGACTCCTCCTTAACTCACTCTACAAAGCAAGCATCACTCTGATACTAAAACCTGTTTAAGACACACAAAAAAAGAAAACTGCAGGCCCATGAAAAATAAATGCAGGCCAATATTTCTGATGAATATAGACACAAAAATTCTCAACAAAATACTATCCAACTGAATCCAGCTGTGCTTCAAAAAGTTAATTCACCATTATCAAGATTATCAATTAGGCTTCATTCCTGAAAAGCAAGGTTGGCTCATCATGTGCAAATCAGTAATTGTGATTCACCACATAAGCAGAATTCAATAAAAAAAAAAGATCATCTCAATAGATGCAGATAAAGCTTTTGATAAAATCCCACATCTCTTCATGATAAAAACGTCAATAAACTAAGTGTAGAAGAAATATGGTTCCAAATGATAAGAACCATCTACGACAAACCCACAGCCAACTCCTATTTAACATAGTACTGGAAGTTCTAGCCAGAGCAAGGCAAGAAAAATAAGGCATCCAAATAGGAAAAGAAGTCAAACTCTTATCACTGATAATTTAATTATGTCCCTAGAAAACCCTAAAGATGCTACCAAATGGCTCCTAGCACTGATAAATGACTTCAGTAAAGTTTCAGGGCACAAAACCAATGTACAAAACTCAATAGCATTTCTATACACCAATAATGTTCAAGCTGAGGGTCAAATCAAGAATGCAATCCCTTTTACAATAGCTGCAAAAAAAAAAAAAATACTCAGGATTACATCTAACCAAGAAAGAGAAAGATCTTTGTAAAGAGAACTACAAAACACTGTTGAAAGAAATCATAGATGACACAAACAAATGGAAAAGCATTCCATGCTCATGGAGTGGAGGAATCAACACTATTAAAATGGCCATACTACCTAAAACCATTTACAGATTCAATGCCATTCCTATCAAACTACCAACATAACTTTTTACAGAATTAGAAAAATATATGCTAAAATTTGTGTGGGACCAAAAAAGAGTCCAAATAACCAAAGCAATCCTAAGCAAAAGAACAAAGCTGAAGGCATTACATTTTTCAACTTCAAACTATACCATAAGAATACAGTAACAAAAATAGCATGGTATTGATACAAAAACAGATACATAGACCAATGGGACAGAATAGAGAAACCAGAAACAAAGCCACACACCCACAGCAATCTAATCATCAACAAAGCTGACAATAATCAAGGGGAAAGGACTCCCTATTCAATAAATGGTGCTGGAAAAACCGGCTAGCCATATGCAGAAGGATGAAATTCGATCTCTACCTTTCATCATATACAAAAATTAAATCAACATGAATTAAAGATTTAATTATAAGACTTCAAACTTGTAGGAATACTAGAAGAAAATCTGGGAAACAACATTCTGGACATAAACCTTGGGTAAGAATTTGTGACAAATTCATCAAAAACAATTGCAACAAAAAAATTGACAAGTAAAATCTAATTAAACTAAAGAGCTTCTGCAAAGGCAAAAGAAACTATCAGCAATGTAAACCAACAACCTACCAAATGGGACAAAATATTAACAAACTCTGTATCAAACAGAGGTCTAATATCAAGAATCTATAGGAAACCCTAACAATTCAACAAGCAATAAACAAAGGACTTTATTTAAAAATGGGCAAAGGACATGAACAGACATGTCTCAAAAGAAGACAAACAAGTGGCCAACAATATAAAAAATGCTCAACTGCATTAATTATCAGAGGGATGCAAATCAAAAGCCACAATGAGATACCACTCACACCAGTCAAAATGGCCAAAATGGCTATTATTAAAAGGTAAAAAAAAAAAAAATACTGGTGAGGCTGCAGAGAAAATGAATATTTACACTATTGGTGGGAATGTAAATGAGTTCAGCCACTGTAGAAAACAATTTGGAGATTTCTCAAATAACTTAAATCAGAAGTACCATTTGTCTCAGCAATCCCATTTCTGGGTACATTTCCAAAGAAAATAAATTGTTCTTCCAAAGAGACTAATGCACTTGTATGTGCATCACAGCACTATCCACAATAGCAAAGACATGGACTTAACCTAGGTGTCCATCGATGGTAGATTGGATAAAGGAAAATGGTACATGTACACTATGGAATACTATGCAGACATGAAAAAGAATGAAATATTGTCCTTTGCAGCAACATAGATACAGCTGAATGCCACTATCTTAAGCAAATTATGCAGGAACAGAAAAGCAAATACTGCATGTTCTCACTGATAAGTGAAAGCTAAACTTTGGGTACTCCTGGTCATAAAGATGGCAATAATAGAACCAGGGACTACTAGAAGGGGAAGGGAAGGAGGCGGCCAAGAATTGGAAAAACTAACTATTGGATACTATTCATACTACCTGGGCAGAAGTTAGTTCATGAGATTTAAGGAAAGAAGCCAACACTATAGCATAAAAGTGCAAGGTGAGGCAGCAAGTGCTGCTGTAGAAGTTGCAACAAATTCTCTAAAGGACTGATTTAAGATAATTGGTAAAAGTGGCTACACTAAACAACAGATTTTCAATATAGACAAAACAACCTTTCATTGGAAGAAGATGCCATCTAGTACTTTTATTGATAGAGAGGAAAAGTCAACGCCTGCCTTCAAAGTTTCAAAGGACAGGCTGAATCTCTCGTTAGGGGTTAATGTACCTGATAAATTTAAGTTGAAAAACCAATGCTCATTTACCGTTCTGAAAATTCTAGTGCCCTTAAGAATTATACCAAATTTACTCTGCCTGTGCTCTATATATGAACCAAAAAACCTAAATTACAGCATTTCTGTTTACAGCATGGTTTACTGAATATTTTAAGCCCATTGTTGAGACCTGCTCAGAAAAAAGGAATTTCTTTCTGAATATTACTGCTCATTGACAATATACCTGGTCACCCAAAACCTCTGATGAAGATGTACAAGGAGATAAATTTCATTTTCATGTATGCTAACACAACATACATTCTTTAGTCCATGGATCTAAGAGTGATTTTGACTTTCAAGACTTATTTTTTAATATATACCTTTTATAATGTCATAACTGCCATAGATAGGGTTTCCTCTGATGGATCTGGGCAAAGTAAGTTAAAAGCCTTCTGGAAAGGGTTCCTATTGTAGATACCACTAAGAACATTCATGATTAATAGGAAGAGGTCAAAATATCATTAACAGAAGATTGGTAGAAGTTGATTTCAACCTTCATGGATGACTTTGATGGGGTTCAAGACTTCAGTGGAAGAAGTAACTGCAGATATGGTAGAAAGAGCAAGTGAATTAGAATTAGAACTACAGTTAGAGGTACAGCCTGAAGATGTGACTCAATTGCTACAATCTCATGATAAAACTTGAACAGATGAGAAGTTACTTTTTATGAATGAGCAAAGAAGTGGTTTTTTGATGGAATATACTCCTGATGAAGATGTTGTCAATATTGTTGAAATAATAACAAAGAATTTAGAATATTTTATAAATTCATGTTAACATTGTTGAAATAATAACAAAGAATTTAGAATACTTTATTAATTTAGTTGATAAAGCAGTGGCAGGATTTGAGAGGACTGACTTTAGTTTTGAAAGGAGTTCTACAGTGGGTAAAATGCTTTCAAACAGCATCACATGCTACAGAGAAATCTGTTTTGAAAGAGTCAGTTGATGTGACTAACTTCACTGTTGTCTCATTTTAAGAAATTGCCATAGACACCCCAACCTTCGACAACCATCACCCTGATCAATCAGTATCCATTAACATGAGGCAATACCCTACACCAGCAAAAAGACTATGACTTGCTGAAGGATCACGTGACTGCTAGCATTTTTAGTCAACAATATATTTTTAATTAAGGTATGTACATTGTTTTAGACATAATGTTATTGCACAGTGAATAGACTATAGTATAGTGTAAATATAGCTTTTATTGCACTGGGAAACCAAAAACTCGTGACTCACTTTACGGTGATATTTGCTTTATTGTTGTAGTCTGGAACTGAACCTGCAATATCTACAATCTATGCCTGCATCACTATTTTTTTCATATGGCTTTCGCATGTTAGAAAAAACAGAATATTTAAGAAATAAGAGTAAGTAGTGTGAAAGTTTTATAAGTGCATCTGTTTGAGCAACAAGGTATCTTTTTTGGATCTCCAGTGGATCTCCAGCAGACCCCCTCAGCCAACTCTTCTTTCATTAACAATGTCTTCTCATCTAGGCTGAAGACATCTGTGACTCTCATGCTAACTCTGAGGGGCAACTTCTCTGATACACTCTGAATTTTTCTCTTACCCATCAAATAGGTCTCTTTTTCTTTCTTCATCTTTTTAACCTTCTTTATTGGCATGCCATAGCTTGTCTTACTTTATTCATGGCAAAGGTACCCAGGCCTGAAATCAAAAATATTTCATTGACATCAGCTAATTATATAATTAATATTAATCAGGCAATTACTGGCAATCTATTAGTACCTACCTCTAAAACAATGATTCCCAAACTTGAGTCCTGGGTTTAGATGTAACCACAAAAGTAGCACTGTTCGTTAAATAGCTATCTGTAATTCAGAGTCTTCCTCTGAAAGAGCACACTTTTCTATTATAAGATTGTACAGACTATCTAAGGCATAATTTGGTTTTGGCTGCAGATATATTAATTTTTGAGGTAACATAAATTAACTCATGTGGATCAGAAACTTCCATCATATGTGTTTTGGGGATATAATTTTATTACATATTAACATTTAATCAATTATGTTTTTGCATAATAAAATCAGGAGAATGCATTAATTATTACATAGTACAATTTGCTTTGGTATATACTATGTTTTAAAACATGGGGTTTGATATGAAGGGAATAGTAAAAAGTAAAAATGTGGTTAAATATTATTAAATATTAGTTTTCAAATATTCTATGGAGACTGAAATGGGGCATACCGACACATCTGTGGGATCTCTCAGCCTTATTTTAACCAAGGTAACTCCAAATGTGTCACTTTTACATGCACAGGGAATGCACAGTGTTTAGAAACATAGAAACATATATTTTTTTGCAGATTTCAGATATTCTTGGGGACATTGTATTCGTCTATGTTTCCAGACTTTGTCAATACCTGTGGTATTATGCTTCTGCATAAGTGTTGACTAAACAGAGTACAATCTTCCCTTGGTATCCACTGGGGATGGTTCCAGGAACCCCCTAGAATACCAAAATCTGCAGATGCTCAAGTCTCTTACCAAACATAGGGTAGTATTTGCATATAACATATATACATCCTCCTGTATACTTAAAAATCTCTAGATTAGTTATACTACCTAATACAATGTAAGTGCTATGTAAAAAGTTGTTGTTTTGTATTGTTTTTAATTTATATTTTTTAATTGTTGTATTTTTTAATTGTTTTTTTTTTCTGAATATATTTTAGGATATGCGGTTGGTTGAGTTCAGAGATGTGCAACCTGCAGATAAGGAGGGTCGACTGTACTTAGAATTCTGTTATAAAACACTGGAAACCACTTATTTATCTTTGGCTCCCAGAAGCAAAATCAGTGTCTTTGGGTGTGGGCTTTTCTCCTACATGTTCTTTACCTAAATGCTCATGGGCAGATGGTCTTGTGATGTCTCAATATCACTATGATCAATTCCATTTCAAAAATATAAGTGGATTTAAAGAAAAAGTGAAATGATAAAAGTGATTTATTATTTTGAAGAAAAGCCATCTTTTCACAGAAGCCTGCTTTAGACAAAATAGAATCACAATTAATCAGATATTGATTGAGGAAACTAATCCCACTTGTTGAGAGCCAAACAGTTACAGAGAGAATGTTCTGCCCCCACTTTATTCTAGAACAGGAGCTGAAATGTGAAAATGTGAAAGAATTCCTTCTGTTCAATGAACTTCTTGTTTCTTCACACAGTCTTATGCCCTTGCTAAGATACTTCTATTTTGTCTACTTTTTCATTAACTAAGGGAGATGGCCTATTAATGAAAAACAAATATTTTGAAAAAAAATCACATTTCTTTATATAATAGAAACACTGGGGAAGCAATGTCACAGCTGAGTCTCCTAATACACCTGTTTTCTTTAATCAGGGCTCTTTGAAACAGTGGCTGTTTAATTAATTAAACTTAACTCTAGGCTTATTTTAAAAATAGGAAATACTGCTTAAAAAGAAAGTAGTAATGAAAACAAAAAGCCTCAAAATAACTGAACTGTAGTTCCAAAGTACATAATCATTAGCTATATATCACTTAACAATATTTTAAAGTATTCTTTATTTTCTGTGTGAAAATAAAAATGTTGGTAGTCTTACATTTTTGTTTGTATGCTTTTTATTTTGGGAGGATTTTATATTTACAGAGAAGTTGCAAAGAGAGTTCAGAAAGTTCCATATACTCTTCTCCCACTTGCCTCTAATGTTAATATTTTACATAACTGTGGTTCATTTGTCAAGATTAAGAGGTTAATATCATTATATAAATATTACTATGAACTAAACTGCAGAGTTTCTTTGCACCACCACAGTTTTACCACTAATGTCCTTTTTCTTTTCCAGAATCTAACCAAAGATACTACGTTGCAGTTAGTAGCTATGTTGCCTTAGTCTCTTCTTGTCTGTGACAGTTTTGTAGTATTGTTTTTCATGACATTGACAGTTTTGCAGAATATTTAAATGAATCTTGTTATTTTTATTTTATGTAGACAAAGCTCACTGTAGTTTATGATTCCTGGCTCATAACTCCCTTGGCCCTTTTTACGGCATTTTGTTGTGATGTTGGGGTTCTTAGAGCTCAGAAAACAGAATTTCTCTATCTCCTGCCTTCTTTTCACCTGTTCCTTTCTTCCCAAGGAAGGACCCTAATGTTTCCCTATCTTTCCATAAAGAAATTCTCTGACCTCCTTAGTCTGGTCATAATATAGGTCATAAGATCCCCATTTCAGAAAGGGTCCTGCCCCATATTCTAAAGGAAGAAATGCTGCACAGAGAAGCCAAGAAAAATCTGGACAGGGCTTGCTGGGTTTAAATCATATTCTTTTTGTCCAATAACATTTCTACACTGCTGTCAACCATATCTATCCAATGAAGTCTTCATAAAAGGCTCAAGAGGACAGGGTTCAGAGAGCTTATGGATAGGTGAACATGTGAAGTTCTTGGAGGGTGGTGAGTCCAGAGAGGGCATGGAAGTGCCATGCCCCTTCCCCCATGCCTCACCCTATGCATGATTTCATTTGTATCCTTTGTAATATCCTTTATAATAGACCAGTAAATGTATTTCTCTGAGTTCTATGAGCTGCTTTAGCAAGTTCTTTGAGTTCTCCAAGGAGGAGATCACAGGAATCCTGATTTACAGCCTGTCAATGAGAAGCACAGGCAAAATAACCTTGAGCTTGCAATTGGCATCAGAAGTATGGGAGCAGTCTTAGAGATTGGGCCTTCAACCTATGGTATTTGATGCTATATCCAGGTCCAGATGAATAAAAGGACACCCTGGTGGTGTCAGTTACAGTATTGCTTGCTTGTTGTGTGGGGTCATTTGGTCACAAAGGTCTTCTGTGTTGATTGTCATAGTGTGAGAGCAGGGGTAAAATGTCCCTCCCTTACTCACAGAACAGTATCTAACTGAATATTTAAGATTCTGTAATGTTCTCTAGATGATGATCTAAACTCCAGATGTCAATGAATTCAGGCAAAAAGATTTCATACCCAGACAAAAGCAACTTAGTGGAGGATCTAAAGTGAGTATAAAATGACCCATGAAATGCTGGGATACAAGTCAGAAGATTTGTGTTTCATTACTTAAAAAAAAAGAGTTAATCTTGAGTATTCCTTGAGATATACTAAAATTTATTTCTTTTTACAAGAAAACTTGTCACCAATTAACTAATTTAGAGAGAAGAAGTGATGGGAAAACACATTGATTTTTAAGAATCTCTAATGAAATGTATGTACAATATTTTGTTGGTCTGTAAGCATTTTATTTACCAAATATTCAAAGACTTTTTCTGTGTTTTTAATTTTCAAGTACTTCTTTTATAGACATAAGTTCCTTTGTACTGACTAAGATCAGTGTAGTTTTGTTTTGGGGTTTTGTTGGGCTGTTTTTGTTGTTTTTGCTGTGTCCACTATTTTATTCCCAGCTATGCACATTTTTTTCAATTCCAAGAATGCTTATTTTCACAACTGTACAAAGAGTGGGAGACTGTCTTCTGTTTAAGGTTATAAATCAAAAGAAATGTAATTCATAGAGAACAAAAGCTGTCTCCTAAAACAAATAAAAATGATTTGACAGTTGTTAAAGTCTAGTCCCCAAAAATAGTAAATAAAAAAAAATTGTAGAATGCTGTCAAAAAGAAACTGAGGAGATAAATTCCTGTTCCCAATCAAAGGTAGTTGCTAATCAGTTCAAAATCATTCAGATATCTGCTGAGGCATTAGGTCACTCCAGACAGCATAGCATTAAGTGAACATGTGGTAATATTCATGCATAGGACTAATGTGTTTTTATGAATGACTTCAACAAACTCTTTTGTGTCATGGCCTATAGTTGGCATATTATATTTCAATACAGACTTTAACAACATTTTGCTTTCTATTTCCTCAGTTAAAATGTCATTTGTTCACCAGAAGTTGCTAAACTTCACTTGTCAGGATAGGCCAGTCATCATGGACCACAAATGATATGCCAGACCGGAGCTTTAGCCAGTGACTCTTTCTTTCAAGAGAAAGTCTTTAATAAAACATTGAGGATACCTAAGGTTTTAAGACTATCACTATCACTCTTTCATAAATTATAGTATCCAAAAGTATGACATTTTTTATGAAATCGAACAGCAAGCAATTAGTTTCCTTCCCCATCCCCACTCAGTGAGAGATGGACAACAGTATCATTAACATGAAAACCAGCCATTGATTAAGAAACACTGTATTGGCGATAATGTGGCATTTTCCCTTGGCAAAGGCACTACTGATTTCCTTAATGGGACCAAGGATTGGGTAAAACAAATATCTGGGTCAAAGTCAGTCAGTAGGTCATAATTTGTTCACATGCAGTCCAGAGCAAGATTCAATTCAATTTACCATTAATTAAGAAACAAGAGTGTAATGCTATTGCATATACTAAAGATGAGTAAACTCATGTTTCATTTTTTCTTAATAATTTTTCTACAATGGGTAAATCTACTTTATATTTTCATAAAAAGATTAAAATAAGAAACTTAGGAAATCATGTCTTCAAGTACTATGTATTTCAAGGCCTTTAAACCATTTTGTTTTCAATTCAATGAGTGCACATGTTCAATAATTTTGATTTTCTCCTTGTTCAAGTTTCCTATTAAGGAGGGTTATTCACTCTTCTCTATGCATTCCTCATCCATTTTTTAGGTCGGGTTTTATATGTAGCCAGTGAATATCCATTCAAAAATTTTAACTTAATACCCGCTATAATATCCTGGGATTTGGAGAGACATAGATAGAGCAGGATTTAGTACTACTAAATCTACTCACTGAAGTTGGACAAGCACTGGGGTAGTTGATAACCTGCAGAGATCCCTGACTAGGAGATCAATTTGGCAAGATGAGGGAATGTCCAAGGTTTTCAGGCATTTCTGGTTACAATCCAGTTGGCAGCAAGGGAATTACAGGAAGTAGGGTATTGTAACAAGAGGATCCGGTTCAATCACAGAGAATTTTGTGGAAAGGGAGCTATGCTTACACTGAAGATGAGCTTAGTAGATAGTTATATCTGGAAAATCTTTACCTGGATGTAAAGGCCCCAAAAAGGCAATTGATTCCTTAAGGGTGAATCACGTGATCCACATGGGAAGAGAAAAATGGGTGTGAAGGCTAGGAACCACTTTGAGTTTGGCTGCTGTTGAGGAACATCAAGAATTTCTGCAATTCAGTTATTTGTATATCATAGACAGCTTCCAAGTTAAATGGTTTTATATTTTGCAACTCATCATCTAGTATTATTTAAGAAGAACTAAAGCCTCCTTTCTTCTTTCTTTTTGAACAGTTTTCATCTCAATGCCAACACATTCTGCGTGGTATTTTTGCATATGCTCAGTTCTTTTCATGTATCCCCTTCATAAATGAATTTTCTGGGCTTATTTTTACTATAAAGGCAGACTCAGATTTTCTACAATACACAGTGAGAGTAAAGTACTCTGTTCTGTACAGCTGACCCTTATTGCAAATATTTCATAATCACTGTATAACTGTTGCTTCAATTAATTCTCACATCATTCTGATGGCTATTATAATAAAGTATGTGTGCAAGTGATTTAAATATTAATAAAGAAAACCACAGTATCAAAAGAGAAGTTTCCAATTTATTTTAAGAATGTCAGCTTTTCTGGCTTTTCTCTTTTTATCACATTACATGGAAAGAATAATAGGAAAAGGCAGTTTCTCAAAAATGTAGTAGTCAAACTGGCACAGTAATATTCAAAATTATCTAGAGTAACAATGAGAGCAAATAGCTTCTACTGGTTGTGATTTACAAATTGCAATGCTTTAATGTTAACAGCCATACACAGTATATAGGATGAAGCCTTGTGAGGCCTTGAGGTTTGGAAAACATGTCATTCTTGCATTAGTGTTCCCACTGACACTCTTAATGCTAAATTTAACTTCTTAATGTATTAATGTATTTTCCTATTATAAAATTTCCTATTTAAAAGTTTGCATGGTTTATTCTCTCTCTCTCTCTCTCTCTCTCTGTGTGTGTGTGTGTGTGTGTGTGTGTGTGTGTGTTTAAAGCTAATATAATTTGGATTAAATCACCCCAAAATAAAATTTACCTGCCTCGTCTTCAGAATGCATAATGTCAGGGCTTTATTGATGTAGCTGCAGCTGAGGGGCCAAGATAGAAGGGTTTGTGAGAAAAGTCATGAAAACTAGTATTGGTGAATTTTAGCTGACCATATTCTTCACTGAAGTCTGTTCTCCAGGTTGCTTTCTAAGGCATAGGCCAACTATCCACGTACTCCTTACTTTCACAGCTGCTCTGGTACACTCTGTCTCTTGTCATTTTTCTTCTTGTAAGTCTGATTACACAGTGATAACGTTTAACGTAATAATATCAATACTTAATGATAATGGTCTGCTACCCATACCTTTCTCTTTCTACAAAAGTACACCAAAGATGATTTTTTTTACTCCTAATAAATTTGGGGAAACAAAGAATAAAAAATAGTGTAGATTGGAAGCTTTACGTGTTTCATAATCTTTAAAATTTCTATAGATTATGATGTTGGTTTTTCTGATTTGGTATTCATTAGATCTGGGATTTTTGCCTTCTACTTATACTCTTTTCAGGGAATAGCTTAGTAGCTGCCCACATTCTTCTGATTTTGCCTTAATTGGAGGCAATATCTTTGCTAGACAAAAAAAAACCTTTCCTCGGTTGGCCACACCTCAAACAAGGTGATAATACAATCAAGCTTTAAGGGCCAAATAAATTGGTGTTATTTTTACTTAAGTGAATGGTTTTCATTTCTGAGGCCTTGTGAAGTGATGAATCTGCTTAACTCATTGAAATACTCTTGTGGGAAATTGGTACTGTCATGACTGCAGTGAATCACACTTCTCTGTATCCGTGCACCTTGGCATTGTGACCCTGAAGCCCCTCTAATCAAGAGGTAAGATTTACTTCTACACCTGTTGAAACTGGGGAAGCCTAGTGACTTGCTTTGACTAATAGAATGTGGTAGAAGTGACATAGTTTAAGTACTTAGAACTTAAGAGGTCTTGTAGCACCTATTCTTAACTTATTGGAGCCTTGAAACCACCATTCTGTGAGGAACCCAGCCAAGTCCATTAGAGGGTGAGAAGCCAAATAGAAGAGAACCAGTTGATAGCGAGCACCAACTGCCAGACCTGTTTAAGTCAAGCCGTCAGATGACTGCAGGTACATGAGTGATCCCAAGTAAGACTAAAAGAACTGCTCAAATTGACAACTTACAGGACTGTGAGAATTAATATATCATTATTTTAAACTGCTAAGTTTTGGAGTGTTTTTTACATAGCAGTAGATAACCGAAACAACTCCAAAGTGGAGAACTGTCAAGAGGAATGACCCTCACTTGCAGAAAGCCCAAGACTCAGATGTAATAAAATTACTACTCCAAAGTTATAAAACTTCTTTATCTCATATTTCCTTAAAAAATTATATAAAAGTCAGGAAACAACAGATGGTGGAGAAGATATGGAGAAATATGAATGCTTTTACACTATTGGTGGGAGTGTAAATTAGTTCAACCATTGTGGAAGACAGTGTGGCAATTCCTCAAGGATCTAGGACCAGAAATACCATTTGACCCAGCAATCACATTACTGGGTATATACCCAAAGGATTATAAATCATTCAACTATAAAGACACATGTACATGTATGTTTATTGCAGCACTGTTCACAATAGCAAAGACTTGGAACCAACCCAAATGCCCATCAATGATACTGGCTAAAGAAAATCCAGCACATATACACCACAGAATACTACACAGCCATAAAAAAGGATGAGTTCATGTCCTTTGCAGGGACATGGATGAAGCTGGAAACCATCATTCTCAGCAAACTAACACAGGAACAGAAAACAAAACACTGCATGTTCTTACTAATAAGTGGGAGTTGAACAATGAGAACACATGGACACAGGGAGTGGAACATCACACACCAGGGCCTGTCGGGGGGTGGGGACTAGGGGACGGATAGCAGTAGGAGAAATACCTAATGTAGATGACGGGTTGATGGGTGCAGCAAACCACCATGGCACATGTATACCTGTGTAACAAACCTGCATGTTCTGCACATGTATCCCAGAAATTAAGTATAATTTAAAAATTAAAAAATTAAAAAGCGAAACAAAAAATTGTATTATTTATTTATTTATTTTGAGATGGAGTCTCGCTCTGTCACCCAGGCTAGAGTGCAGTGGTGTGATCTCTGCTCACTGCAAGCTCCGCCTCCCGGGTTCACACCATTCTCCTGCCTCAGCCTCCTGAGTAGCTGGGACTACAGGCACCCACCACCACGCCCGCCTAATTTTTTTGTATTTTTTTAGTAGAGACAGAGTTTCACCATGTTAGCCAGGATGGTCTTGATCTCCTGACCTCGTGATCTGCCTGCCTTGGCCTCCCAAAGTGCTGGGATTACAGGCATGAGCCACTGCGCCCAGCCATAAAAAAATTGTATAATTTTTATATGCATATGTCATTCCATCAGGTATTTATTTTTATAATCCAACAATATTTGCAATTTTATATTCTGTTGAATGCTATACCTATGTTTGTTTTGATCAGAAATACATTTAAAAATTTTGTTACCATTAATGCTCAAGCAAGATGTGTTTTATTTACCCTGTGGAAGCATAACCTCTGGCATATCACTCTGTACCCCAGTTTGAAGAGTAGTTTTTCTAACATATAGTTATTGAACTGCAAAGTGTTGAAAAAGGAGGCAGTTTTAACTGTCCATCCCTTGTAGTTTTGCCTGAATGCTGTTTCTTTCATCATTTGTGATGAACTCTCCTGCAGTTTCTCCTCTGTATCCTTGAAGAAGAATAAAAGTCATAGTTATCTGATTATAAGCATATTCATGAGAGACCCCAGTGAGAGCCTCTAGACTTGGTTTTGGTCAGTTCTCTACAGACCTAAGGTTTTGTT